>NC_000012.12:111702552-111854067 GCF_000001405.40 Homo sapiens | reverse complement strand
AAATATTAACAAACTGAAACTAGCAACATGTAAGAATGATTCTACACCAGACTAAGTGGGTCTGAGTGGGGTTTATACCAGGAATGCAAGATTGGCTTAATATCTGAAAATAACGTAATATTACCATATACTATATTAAGAATAAAGAACAAAAACCACATAATTAACTCAATAGATGAAGGGAAAATATTTAACAAAAACTCAACACCCATTCCTGATAAAACTGTCAGCCAGGCCGGGCGTAGTGGCTTAAGCCTGTAATCCCAGCACTTTGGGAGGCCAAGGCGGGTGGATCACCTGAGGTCAGGAGTTCGAGACCAGCCTGACCAACAAGATGAAACCCCATCTCTACTAAACAGATAAAAATTAGCCAGGTGTGGTGGCAGGCACCTGTCATCCCAGCTACTCAGGAGGCTGAGATAGGAGAATTGCCTGAACCCGGGAGGCGGAGGTTGCAGTAAGCTAAGATCACACCACTGCACTCCAGCCTGGGCAACAGAGAGAGACTCCATCTCAAAACAAAAAAATTTTGTTTTATATGTAGAAAATCCTAAGGGATCTATAAGAACTAGTATGCAAATGTACTAAGGATACAAAATACAAAATCAACATACAGAAATCAACTGTATTTCCATACACTAGTGACAAACAATCCAAAAATGAAATGAAGAAAACAATTCCATTCTTTTTTTTTTTGAGACGAAGTTTCGCTCTGTCACCCAGGCTGGAGTGCAGTGGCGCCATCTTGGCTCACCATAAGCTCCACCTCCCAGGTTCGCGCCATTCTTCTGCCTCAGCCTCCCAAGCAGCAGGGACTACAGGCGCTTGCCACCACGCCTGGCTAGTTTTTTGTATTTTTTTTTTTTAGTAGAGAGGGGGTTTCACTGTGTTAGCCAGGATGGACTCGATCCCCTGACCTCGTGATCCGCCCACCTCAGCCTCCCAAAGTGCTGGGATTACAGGCGTGAAGAAGAAAACAGGAATACATTTATCAGGCTGGACACAGTGGCTCATGCCTGTAATCCCAACACTTTGGGAGGCCAAGGCAGGTGGATTGCCTGAGGCCAGGAGTTCAAGATCAGCCTGGCCAACATGGTGAAACCCTGTCTCTATTGAAAATACAAAAATTAGCCAGGCATGGTGAAGCAAGCCTGTAATCCCAGCTACTCAGGAGGCTGAGGCAGGAGAATTGCTTGAACCTGGGAGGCAGAGGTTGCCGTCAGCCGAGATTGCACTACTGCACTTAAGCCTGCGAGACAGAGTGAGACTCTGTCTCAAAAAAAAAGAATAAATTTATCAAAAGGCAAGATTTATAGATTTATACACTGGAAACTAGAAAACACTGCTTAGAGAAACTGAAGAAGCCCTAAAGAAATGGAAAGCTCTACTACGTTAATAGATAAGATAATATACTTGACCCTTGAACAACGTGAAGGTTAAGGGCACTGACACCCTGGGCAGTCAAAAATCTGCACATAACTTCTGACTCCCCCAAAATTTAACTACTAATAGCCTGTTAACCATACTGACAACAGAAAGTCAATTAACACATATTTTATGTATTACATACTATATTGTTACAATAGAGTAAGATAGAGAAAAAATGTTATTAAGAAAATCATAAGAGAAAACATATTTGCTATTCATTAAGTGGAGGTGCATCATCATAAAGGTCTTCACCCATCTTCAGGATGAGTAGACTGAGGGAAAGAAAGAAAAGGAGTTGGTTGGTCTTGCTGTCTTGGGGCAGCAGAGGTAGAAGAGGTGAAGGGCATGGAAAGGAAGGCAGGAGAGGCAGGCACATCTGGTGTAACATTACAAAAATACATCCTCATTTCTGTCTGACTTTTTTGCTTTTCCATTTCTCTAAAAACATTTCTATACAATACTAATCCTTCTTCCACCATTTGCTTTCACTTCAGTGCCAGTATCACAGAAGGTTCCATTCCATATTCCATAAACAAAGCTAAAGGAAGTCTTGAATAATTGGAACCCTTCTGGCAAATTGTCTAATGTCAATTTTTTCCTGCCCCTGTTTCTTGTACATCTTATTCCTTACTGTCTGGCACAGAAGCACTCATCTCCATCAAGTCATCTTCTATTAATTCCTCAGGTGTGGTGTCTATTAGCTCTTGAATTTCTCCAAGATCTGTACCTTAAAACTCTTCACCCTTCACCTTTTTTGCCATATCCACAATCTCTTTCATGATTTCCTTAACCAGCTCTGTCATAAATCCTATGAAGTCACGCACATCTGGACAGAGTTTTCTCCACCAGGAATTTATTGTTTCAGGCCTGATGGCTTCCACAGCTTTTTCCATAACAATGGCATCTTCAGTGGTGTAATCCCTCTAGACTTTCACTACATTCTATCAGGATTCTCTTCCTTGGTGTTAACAATCTTTTCCAGAGTATCCCATGTAATGAGTCTTGAAAGTCCTGGACCAGGTGCGGCAGCTGAAGCCTGTAATCCCAGCACTTTGGGAGGCTGAGGCAGGCAGATCACTTGAGGCCAGGAGTTCGAGACCAACCTGGGCAAAATGGTGAAACCTCATCTCTCCTAAAAATACAAAAATTAGCCAGGCATTGTGGAGCATGCCTGTAATTCCAGCTTCTCGAGAGGCTGAGGCATGAGAATTGCTTGAACCTGGGAGGCAGAGGTTGAAGTGAGCTGAGATCACCCCACTGCACTCCAACCTGGACAACAGAGCCAGACTCTTTCTCAAAAAGTCCTTGAGACCTCCTGATCTACAGGCTGGATTAGAGACACTGTTTGTGGACAAGTAGACCACTTCAAAGCCTAGTGTTGAACTCATGGGATTCTCAGTGGCCAGGGGCATTGTGTCAAAAAAACTTTAAAAGGCAGTCCTGGCCGGGCACGGTGGCTCATGCCTGTAATCCCAGCACTTTGGGAGGCCGAGGCAGGCGGATCACTTGAGGTTAGGAGTTCAAGACCAGCCTGGCCAACATGCTGAAACCCTGTCTCTACTAAAATACAAAAATTAGCTGGGCGTGGTGGCAGGCAACTATAATCCCAGCTACTCGGGAGGCTGAGGCAGGAGAATGGTGTGAACCCAGGAGGCAGAGCTTGCAGTGAGCCGCGATCGTGCCACTGCACTCCAGCCTGGGCCACAGAGCGAGACTCCTCTCAAAAAAAAAAAAAAAAAAGAAAATGGGTTCTCATTATCCAGGCTTTCTTTTGGTAAAAACAGACTGGCAGCTGGTGTTTTATCTTCTCCCTTGAAGGCTCAGAGGTTAGCAGCTTTATAGACCAGGGTAGTCCTGATCATAAACTTGACTGTGTTTACACAAAACGGCAGTTAACCTAGCTCTTCCTGCCTTAAATCCTGGCACTCACTGCTCTTCCTTACTCATAAATGTCCTTTGTGGCATTGTTTTCCCCAGAACAGGGCATTTTTGTCTGCATTAAAAACCCATTCAAGCAGATATCCTTTCTCCTCAATGATTTTCTTAATGGCATCTGGGAACTTGTTTGCCGCCTCTTGGTCAGCAGAAGCTGCTTCTCCTGTTACCCTGACATTTTTTTAAGCCAAACCTCTCTACAGTTATCAAACCATCCTTTGCTGGCATTAAATTCTCCAACTTTAGATCCTTTACCTTCCTTTTAAGACACAATGACTTTTTCTCGAAAAATATTAGAGTCTATAGTTATGCCTTTCTTATAGCACTCTCGCACCCACGTAAAAGCTGCATCTTCAATATGAAATAAAAAGGTATTTTGGCCAGGCACAGTTGCTCATGCCTGTAATCCCAGCACTTTGGGAGGCCGATGCAGGCAGATCACAAGGTCAGGAGTTCGAGACCAGCCTGGCCAACATGGTGAAACCCCGTCTCTATTAAAAAGACAAAAATTAGGCGGGCATGGTGGCACCCACCTGTAATCCCAGCTACTTGGGAGGCTAAGGCAGGAGAACTGCTTGAACCTGGGAGGCAGAGGTTGCAGTGAGCCAAGATCACGCCACTACACTCCAGCCTGGTCAACAGAGCAAGTCTCCATCTATGAAAAAAAAAAGGATATTTCACAACCAGTCGTGGTGGTTCATGCCTATAATTCTAGCACTTTGGAAGGCCAAAGTGTGACGACTGCTTGAGCTCAAGAGCTGGAGACCAGCCTGGGCTACACAGTGGGACCCGTGTCTCTACAAAAAAAAAAGTTATTTTAATTAGCCAAACATGGTGGTAGACACCTGTGGTCCCAGCTACTCAGGAGGCTGAGGAGGGAGAATCACTTAAGCCTAGAAGGACATGGCTGCAGCGAACTGTGATCGCATCACTACACTCCAGCCTGGGTGATGGAGTGAGACTGTCCTAACAAAATAAAAGAAAAAGAAAAAAATGTGCTAAACTGGACTTCATAAAATTTAAAACCTTTTGCTCTTCAAAAGACACCATTATAAAATGAAAAGATAAGCCACAGACTGGGAGAAAATATTTGCCAATCACATAGCTGATAAATGACTTTTATTCAGTTTATAAAGAACTCTAGGCCAGGTGCGGTGGCTGACGCCTGCAATCCCAGCACTTTGGGAGGCCGAGGCAGGCAGATCACAAGGTCAGGAGTTTAAGACAAGCCTGGCCAACATGGCAAAACTAAAATTTTTAGTCTCTACTAAAAATACAAAAATTAGCTAGGCATGGTGGTGGATGCCCATAATCCCAGCTACTTGGGAGGCTGAGGCAGGAGAATCACTTGAACCCGGGAGGTGGAGGTTGCAGTGAGCCAAGATCGTGCCATTGCACTCCAGCCTAGGCAACAAGAGCAGCAAGACTTTGTCTCAGAAAAAAAAAAAAGAAAGAAAAAAAAAAGAACTCTTGGCCAGGTGCAGTAATCCTAGCACTTCAGGAGGCTGAGGCAGGCAGATCGCTTGAGCCCAGGAGTTCAAGACCAGCCTGGGCAACATTGTGAGACCCCATCTCTAAAAAAATTAATAAAAAAATAAATAAATAATCCTATAACTCAATAAGGCAAAGAAATCAATTTTAGGCTGGGCATGGTGGTTCACATCTGTAATCCCAGCACTTTGGGAGGCCAAGGCAGGCGGATCACTTGAGGTCAGAAGTACGAGACCACCTGGTCAACATGGTGAAGACCTCATCTCTACTAAAAATACAAAAAATAAATAAAAAAATAAAAATACAAATACAAAAAATTAGCTGGGCATGGTGGCGCATGCCTGTAATCCCAGCTACTTAGGAGGCTGAGGCAGGAGAATCGCTTGAACCCCGGAGGAAGAGGTTGCAGTGAGCCAAGGTCGTACCACTGCATTCCAGCCTGAGTGACAAAGCGAGACTCCATCTCAAAACAAAAAAAAGCAATTCTAAAACGGGCAAAAAGAGGCCGAGCACAGTGGCTCATGCCTATAATCCTAGCATTTTGGAGGCCAAGGTGGGCAATCACCTGAGGTCAGGAGTTCAAGACCAGCCTGGCCAACATGGTGAAACCCCATCTCTACTAAAATACAAAAATTAGCTGGGCATGATGGCAGGTGCCTGTAATCCCAGCTACTCGGGAGGCTGAGACGGGAGAATCACTTGAACCCGGGAGACGGTGGTTGCAGTGAGCCGAGATCGTGCCACTGTGCTCCAGCCTGGGCGACTGAGCAAGACTCCATCTCAAAAAAAAAAAAAAAAAAATGGGGCAAAAGATTGGAACAGACCCTTCACCAGAAAAGAAACATGAATGTCAAATCTGCACACAAAAAGATGTCCAACAGCATTAGTCGTTAGGGAAATGCAAATTAAAAGCATAATACCACTACACACCCACCAGAAGGACTAAAATAGGAAGACTGAAAATACCTAATATTTGTGAAGATGGTAGAAAAAAACAGGACTTTCAAACACTGCCAGTGGGAATGTATAATGGTACAACCACTTTGGAAAACAGTTCGGTGGTTTCTTAAAAAGTTAAACATAAATTTACTATACTGCCCAGTTATTCCACATCTAGCTATCTACACTGAAGAAATGAATACATATATTCACACAAAACTTGTACAGTTTTATCACTTTATTCACAACAGCTAAAAACTAGAAATAATCTAAATGTCCTATAACTGAGAATGGATAAGCAATAAAGACTACTGCTCAATAAAAAGAATGAACTGCTAAAGCATGCACTAACGTGGATGAACCTGAGAAATTTGCTAAGAAATCAAACACATAAAATTGGTAAGCTATTAAGGAAATAATTTCTGGAGAAGGCAAAAACTATAGTGACAAAGCAAATCAGTGGCCGTAAGGGGCGAGGAATGGGAACAGGGCTGACTGCAACCAGGCAGAAGGAACTTTCTAGCAGGGATGGAAATATTATACACCAGAGTGTGATGATGGCTGCATGCCTCTATAAATTTACTAAAAATTACTGAACATTTACACTGAATGTACTGAACTGTACATTTATATTGGGGGTATTTTTATGATGTACAAACTATACAATTTTTTTTAATTTTAAAAACTAAGGAAATGGATTTTCACAAACTCCATCAAATATTAACGACTCGCTATACATAATAGAAAACAATATGTAAGAATCCCTAATCCCAAAATGCCCACTCTCCAGATTTAGCTAAGTGCCTTGGGTGTAGCAAAGTCATGGGGCTATGGGACTAGAGATACAGGTAATAGAAGATACAGGGAATAGAAGATAGAGCCTCCACTTACAGCCATTTGACCTTATCCTAAATTTTTTTTTTTTTTTTTGCAGAGTCTCACCCTGTCGCCCAGGCTGGAGTACAGTGGAGCAATCTCAGCTCACTACAACTTCCACCTCCCGTGTTCAAGTGATTCTCCTGCCTCAGCCTCCCGAGTAGCTGGGACTACAGACACCTGCCACCACACCCAGCTAATTTTTTTTTGTTTTTTTTAGTAGAGATGGGGGTTTCACAATGTTGGCCAGGCTGGTCTCAAACTCCTGACCTCAAATGATCTACCCACCTCAGCCTCCCAAAGTGTTGGGATTACAAGCGTAAGCCACCACGCCCAGCCCCTTATCCTAAAGTTTTTAAGAGTACAGTAGTCCCCACAGATAAGGGAGGATATGTTCCAAGACCTCCAGTGGATGCCTGAAATCTTGGATAGTAGTGAGCCCTATACATACTGTTTGTTCTGATAACCAAGATGACTACTAAGTAACTACAGGATAGGAAGCATATACAGTGTGAACATGCTGGGATGATTCATGTCCCAGGCAATATGGCAAGAGATTTCATTACACTACAAAGAATAGTGCTTAATTTGAAACTTATGAGAGCCAGGCATGGTGACTCACACCTGTAACTCTAGCACTTTGGGAGGCCGAGGAGGGTGGATCATGAGGTCAGGAGTTCGAGATCAGCCTGGCCAACATGGTGAAACCCCGTCTCTACTAAAAATACAAAAATTAGCCAGGCATGGTGGTGCACACCTGTAATCCCAGCTACTACTCGGGAGGCTGAGGCAGAAGAATTGCTTGAACCCAGGAGGCAGAGGCTGCAGTGAGCCAAGATCACGCCACTGCACTCCAGCCTGGGCATCAGAGCAAGACCGTCTCAAAAAAAAAAAAAAAGAAAAAGAAACTTATGAATTATTGATTTCTGGAATTTTCCACTTAATATTTTCAGACTGCAGTTGACCATATGTAACTAAAATTGTGGAAAGCAAAACCGTGGATAAGGGAGGATGAGATCTTAAAGTCCAATCAACCCACTCTCAGGTAGTCTGGCAGCAAGAGTTAAAGTGTTGTGGCTGGAGGCCAGGAAAATAGCTTTCCAGCTGAACACTACAGGTTTGTCTCAGTGCTCACCATCTGCTGAACACCCCCCAAAAAGCAAAACAATGAATACAACACAATGCCACAGACCAAATGTTTTTTATTTGATGTAATGCTGGCTTGCTTCCAAAGCAGTACATCCTAATCAGTACTGATTTTCAAGTCCACCAATAGGTATTGGCTGGAAATGCCCAAATTAGCGTAGATTCACCATGACCTATTGAGTACTTCTGAGTGAAGAAAAGCTAAAAAAATTTTAAGAAAATTGGGCTGGGCAAGAGTCAAGTGAAAAAAACAACTCTTTCTAAAGCACCCTTAAGTTGCTATGAGCTAATATTCATTGAGCTCTTGCTGTTAGGTATTATTATTTTTTTGAGAAGGAGTCTAACTCTGTCGCCCAGGCTGGAGTGCAGTGGCATGATCTCAGCTCACTGCAACCTCTGCCCCCCAGGTTCAAGCGATTCTCCTGCCTCAGCCTTCTGAGTAGCTGGGATTACAGATGTGTGCCACCACACTCGGCTAATTTTTGTATTTTTAGTAGAGACGGGGGTCTCGCCATGTTGGCCAGAGTGGTCTCCAACTCCTGACCTCAGGTGATCCGCCCGCCTAGGCTTCCCAAAGTGCTGGGATTACAGGTGTGAGCCACCGTGCCTGGCCTAGGTATTATTATAAGCACATTTGGGTATATCTGCTCATTTAATCCTCAAAAACTAACAAACAAACCAACAAAAAACCCTATAAGCTGGGAGTGCTTTTATCCCATCTACAGATGAGGAAACTAACGAGACAGAAGTGAAGTGATGTCGTACTCAGACACACGGCTAATAAAATAGAAACGCTGGGCTGGGCGTGGTAGCTCATGCCTGTAGTCCCAACACTTTGGGAGGCCAAGGCGGACAGATAACCTGAGGTCAGGAGTTCGAGACCAGCCTGGCCAACATGGTGAAACCCCATCTTTTCTAGCAATATAACAACAATAACAACAAAATAGCAATAACAACAAAAATAGCCGGGCGTGGTGGTGTGCGCCTGTAGTCCCAGCTACTCGGAGGGCCAAGGCACAAGAATTGCTTGAACCTGGGAGGAGGCGGCTGCAGTGAGCCGAGATCACACCACTGCACTCCAGCCTGGGTGACAGAGTGAGACTCTGTATCAAAAAAAAACATAGGGTGAGATTTCAACTGAGTCTACCTAGAGAAGCTATAACAACCACTAAGTGACATTGCTGCCCTATTTGTATACTTATCTCCTGGAACTATGTCTCTCTTCTGTTCAAAACTCTCCTATAGTTCCCCTTTTAATCAGGGTCAAACCCAAAGTTCTTACGATGGCCTACAAGGCCCTAAGTGCCTTGCTTCCCATTGCTGCTCTACATCATCTCCACTGACCCACTGCATTCCAGCCACCTTGCTCTTCCTACATCACACTACACCTGCTTCTACCTCAAGGTCTGTCCTTGCTATTCCCACTGCCTGTTATACTCTTCCCTGAGACAGTGGTGGCTTGCTCTCGCATTTCCATCAGAACTCTACAGTGTCACCTCCTCGGACTACCCTATTTAACACAGTACTCCTCACCCTTTCCACACTTAATTAAAACCACCTAGCAGTAACCCCACCCTCTAGAATATAAGCTACATGACAGTAGGGACATCTAGGAGTCTGGCTTGTACCATTTGTGTCTAGGACACCATCTGGCACACAGGAGACAATGTTTAAAAACTGGCCACATACGCTTTGATTCACAACCCAATTAAATAACTTCAGGCGGCATATCATGCCTCTGTGCCAATAAAACCCAAACCAAGGCTGGGCGCGGTGGCTCACACCTGTTATCTCAGAACTTTGGGAGGCCGAGGCGGGCAAATCATGACGTCAGGAGATGGAGACCATCCTGGCTAACACAGTGAAACCCCACCTCTACTAAAAATACAAAAAAATTAGCTGGGTGTGGTGGCACGTGCCTGTAGTCCCAGCTACTGGGGAGGCTGAGGCAGGAGAATCACTTGAACCTGGGAGGTGGAGGTTGCAGTGAGCCAAGAGCATCCCACTGCACTCCAGCCTGGATGACAAAGCCAGACTCCGACTCAAAAAAAAAAACAAAACCCAAAACAAAAGAAGGATATGTCAAGGCAGTCTTTTAGAATCTTTATGATTTAAAACCTCGTCTTCCTTGGGCCAGGCACGGTGGCTCACGCCTGTAATCCCACCATTTTGGGAGGCCAAGGCGGGCAGATCACGAGGTCAGGAGATCGAGCCCATCCTGGCTATTACGGTGAAACCCCGTCTCTACTAAAAATACAAACAAAAGAAAAAATTAGCAGGGCGTGGTGGGTGGGCGCCTGTAATCCCAGCTACTCGGGAGGCTGAGGCAGGAGAATGGCGTGAACCCAGGAGGCGGAACTTGCAGTGAGCCAAGATCGGGCCACTGCACTCCAGCCTGGGCGACAGAGTGAGACTCCGTCTCAAAAACAAACAAACAGACAAAAAACCTGGTCTTCCTTAATGTATATGTTATATGTTGATGCCTCCTTTAAAGGGTTAAGTTTCTTTGGAATGACTTGATGATTTTGAGAAACTATATACACCACCTAAAGAATTGGTAGAAATGTAAATTCTTAATCATTACTAGTAACTGTCTTGAAGGGGAAAATAACCCCAAGCTGCCAATAGATGCCTGTCCTTCAAGATAAAATGAAATTATTCAATGCACTGGGCTGACTTAACACTACAAATAAGTAAATAATACATCAAACTTTAAGCGTCAATGTTTAATTTTCATAAGACTAATTTCTTAGCTACAGCTGTCAAGACAGATAACTGGCCCTGAGTGGGCAAAATGTGCCTTTAAAAAAAAAAAAAGTTAAAAACAGGTTTTAGAAAACTTATTTTATTTGTGTAATTTTCGAACACACATTTGCTTTTCTTTTGGTTTAAGTGCAGTTAAGTCACAGGAACTGTTAACTTTTCCTAAGTAAACTCAATGCTTCCTAGGAGAAAGAAGAGGAAAAAGAAAAAGGGGAGAATACACGGAAAAGTGAGGACAACCTATTCCCCAAAGGACAGGTTTTGTACGGCGAACCACCTTTTTCCAACTGCAGATTTCCAGAAGGCTGATTTCAAACAAATCGGGAGGGATGGATAAATTCCAACTCTCCAAGTTCTGTAGACCATCCGGAAGCAAATGCTGGCGGCCTTGGGGAGTGATCGAAACGTGTAGTAGTAGTAGTAGGGCTCTCTTCGTCCCATTCATTGACACTTAATAGTGTCTCCAGGCCACTCACCTCTGTTCCAGCTGAGCACAAATCACACTCACCAGGGAAGCTGGCGGGAGTCGGACACACACCTACACCCACACCCATAACCCTTGGCCCCAGGGCTGTAAAGCGCGATCCACGGAATCCGGGGGAGGCCGAAACCCGGTAGTCGATGGAACCTCTCACTGCAAAATCTCCCTGCTTTTTGAGGCTAGAGCCGAGAAGAACGCCACAGGACAACGCGGGGGAAGAGGGGGCACCTCCCCCTTACCTTGATGGCTTTGTCCATGTCGCTCTCCTCCGACATACTCAGTGGGGCCCCCACAGCCGGGAGAGGCGGAGGCTGCTCAGCAGCCCTGTCCCCGCGCGGCCGAGGGAGCAAAGGGCTCGGCACTCGGGCCCCTGGGCCTCGTGGCGACGGGCAGCAGCCGCCCCTCGGGACCGGTGGGGATGAGGACCCCGGCGCCGGCTCTGCTTCGGCGGGCGGCTCTAGGCTGGCGGCAGCAGCAGCGGCGGAGGCGGCGGCCCCTGGGGACAGGTCTTTGTGCTGGGCCCCACGCGGCCGCCTCCTAGCCTCATCCCCAGCTGGGGAGGCAGGCTCCTGGGGTAGGGCGAGGCGGGGAGGGCCTCGACCCGGGGCGCCGTGCAAGGGCCTCGCGGGGCCGCCGCTTAGACCTGGGCTCGCCAGGTCCTAAAGAAGAGCCTGCGCCTCCGCCTCCGCCGCCTGCACCGCCGCGAAGCCGAAGCCGAAGCCGAAGCAGAGCTCGGCGCCGCTGCTCCCGCCGCCGCCTCAGCGCCACACATCGCCGGGACACCCGCGCCGGGCAGCCCCGCCGGCCGCCCTCACGCACGCGCTGTGCCCCGCGGGAGCTCCAGGCCGCCCCTCCTGCCGCCCAGCTTCGTGACTCCACGGCCCCACGCGCCCCTTGCTGCCTTCCGCTGGGGTTTCCGAGCCGCCCCCGAACCGCGCACCCGACTTGCAGGCGTCCGCCTGGGCCTCCCTAAGACACGCCGCATACAGGACAGGCCCCTGGGCCTTCCGCGGCGATGGCGCTGCGCTAATGACGTCATAGGCCCGGACTCGCGTGAGTGCGCGTGCGTTGGGGCCTCAGCCTTTATCTCCACTCTGCGGAGATTCACGCCTGGAAAACGCTCTTCTGAGAGGATCTGTGGAGGTCAACCCAGGAGAGAGAAGACAGGACTGAAGCACTGAAAGGGTCCTGCCGTTAAGGGCGCAGGATTGTATAGAATATATAATAGCAGTAGCAGCTCTGTTTACGGAGCATTAACCTTACGTGGAGTTATTTCCTGCATTTCCTCCTTTCGTCTTTACAAGGTAGCCGTTTGGCGTCGTGAGGTATGGATGTTCCCATCCCTAATTTGCAAAATAGGTAACTGAGGCTCAGGAGAGCTAGACTAGTTTGTGCACAGCCGAGAAGTGGTCAAGCTAGAATGGGACCCCAGGTTTGTGCTCCCTACTCTCCACCGATAACCTATCAAAGGGCTTTGCAAGAGCTTTTGACTAATCGTCTGTCAATGGTTCTTCATTCACGTATTAATTGCACATCAGTATGTGCCAAATCTACTAGACATTGGAGAAACAGTAGGAACAACACATGGTACCGGCACATGGATCTTTCAGGAAAACGAAGTAGGTAATAAACAGGAAAAAGCCCGAGTCTGATGCTAAGAAGAACATAAACAGGATGCTGAGGTAAGAGAATAACTGGATGTGGGGACTTCTTCGTATTAGATGATTAAGGAAGGAATCTCAGGAGGTAACATTTAAGCTGAGACCCCTGAGGAATGAGAAAGGGCTGGCTATTGGAAATCCAAGGAAAGATTTCTGGGCAGATGGGTAGAAATTTTAAGGTGGAAATAAGCTAAATATGTTCAAGAATCAGCAAGAAGGTCATTGTAGCTGGAGTAGATCGAGTAGGAGGAGACTGATAAAGGGTGAGGTTGGAGGCTGGGCGCGGTGGGTCACGCCTGTAATCCCAGCACTTCGGGAGGCCAAGGCGGGCGGATCACTTGAAGTCAGGAGTTCGAGACCGGCCTGGCCAACATGGCGAAACCCCGTCTCTATTTCAAAAAAAGAAAAAAAAAAGTATAAAAAGGATGAGGTTGGAGATGTGGGCAGGGGCTGCATCATATGTGGCCTTTGGGGGTCATAATCAGGACTTTGGATTTTATTCTAAGCTATTGTAAGGTTTTAAAGTAAAGAGTGATGTGAACAAATTTGTTTTAAAAGATCACTCTGCTTTGTAGAGAATAGAATATAGGAAAGCAAGAATGGAAACAGAGCTATTAGGAGGCTATTGGAGAATAATGCAGATGAGAGATTATTACACTGTCTGAACTAAGGAGGTGGCGGTAAAGGTGTAGAGAAGATGGATTTTTTTTTTTAAACGGTCCCACTGTCTAGAGTGCAGTGGCGTGATCACAGCTCACTGCAACCTAGACCTCCTGGGCTCAGGCGATCCTCCCACCTCAGCATCCTGAGTAGCTGGGACTATAGGCGCATGCCACCATGCCTGGCTAATTTTTCGTATTTTTTTTGTAGAGATTGGGTCTCTCCACATTGCCCCGGCTGCTCTCCAACCCCTGAGTTCAAGTGATTCACCTCCCTTGGCCTCCCAAAGTACTGGGATTACAGGCGTGAGCCACCGTGCCTGGCTGAGAAGATGGATTTAAGACATATTTTGGAGGTAACATTGTCAGGACTTCCTGAAGGATTAGATGTGGAAGGGAAGGATAAGAAACAGACCAAGGATAACTTTCAAATGTATGCTTAAGCAACTGGATGGATAATGATGCCATTGAGTGAGTGAAAAACTTGATGGAAGTGGAAGATTCAGAGTTCATTTCTATCTAGGTTAATTTGAGACATACCAGAGCATAAGTTAAGTAAGTAATTGAATATTGGAGTGGAGACTTATTTGTCTACCGAATTATTGTTTTCTTTGTCGGACATACACCTACACTGCATTCCTCAAAGTAAAATTTAAGTGTGGCTCTGTGCCTATGCTCTCCCCAGCGGAAAGTGACCAGAAGAGGTGTGCAGTTTCCAGGCCTGGCCCATACAGACCTCCAACAGGTGCTCCCCTGTGCTGTTACTCCTTCTGCCAACTGGAAGCAGATGGTGACCAGGCTCTGGAGAAGGCAAGGCCTGAAGATGGGAGATTCCTAAGTGGAGGAGAACTGTGCCTTACTGACCTAAATATCCACTCAGTATTGTTATGTGAGAATAAATAAACTTGTGTTGACCGTTTACTTACTTTGAGTCTTTTGTTCTAGCAGCTTTGCCTATGCTACCTAATATGAATAAGAGCAATGATCCCGCGATGAACTTTGGGAGAAAATTTTTAAATGACTTCAGTTGACATCTGTAACAGGAAATATTCGTGCAAAAGTAATTGTGGTTTTTGCCATTTAAAAATAATGGCAAAAACTGCAGTCATTTTTGCACTAACCTATAGAAGATGCCTTGGATTTATTCATTCATTTCATCCAGTAAGAATTTCTCTCTGCCAGGCTCTATGTCTTGTAATAGAGATGCAGAGATGATGTCGTATAATAGAGATGCAGCAATGAAGAGACAAGGTCCCTGCTCTCAAGCAGCTTTTAGTCTAGCTGTTCAACTTACCGACTTATTTGCACGTGCTTTCCCACTACCTAGAAACTCATGCTTCCCTCATAACACACACACATACACACACAGCCTGGTTTCTACTCATTCTTCAACTTTATTCTTCTTTGAGGCGGAGGCTCACTGTGTCCCCCAGGCTGGAGTGCAGTGGTGCGATCTCGGCTCACTGCAACCGCCGCCTCCTGAGTTCAAGTGATTCTTCTGCCTCAGCCTCCCGAGTTGCTGGGATTACAGGCACCCGCCACCACGCCCGGCTAATTTTTGTATTTTTAGTAGAGACAGGGTTTCACCATGTTGGCCAGGCTGGTCTCGAACTCCTGACCTTAGGTGATCCGCCCACGTCAGCCTCCTAGAGTGCTGGGATTACAGGCGTGAGCCACCACACCTGGCCAATTCTTGATAATGTTTTTTCAGAAAGGCATGCCTTGCCCATACCCTCCTTTCCTAATCTAAATCAGATGTTCCTATTATCCTGTAACTAAATAATCTCAACAAGGGAAAGAATCTTATTTGTCTTATTGGTCATATGTCCCTAATACCCAGTCCATTGTAGGTACTTAATAAATTTATTTGTCGAAGGAATCAATGAATGGAGAAGGCAGAACCCTGAAGAAAGCGGTTTCTTCCAATGAAATTCCTCTGTTTTTTGCTGGTGTGGCAGCCCTGGTTCACAGCCTCCAGTGATGCTCACATCTTGGTATTTATGATCTTATGTAGTCCTCTCGCCCTGCATGTGGTCTGGATCAAGTGGTTTGCTTTCAGTGAACAGATGTCATGTTCAAGATTAGGTAGCAGAAAAACTCTGGCTTCCATTGGGGCCCTCTCTGACTCTTTTACTTATCTGCTCTTAGGGAAGCCAGCTCACTTGGTTCCTAAGGCTGCTGTAACAAAGTATCACAAATTGGGTGGCTTAAAACAACAGAAGTTTATCCTCACAGCTCCAGATGCTAGAAGTCTGTAATGAATGTGTCAGCAGAGGCCGAGTACTGTGGCTCACTCCTGTACTCCCAGCACTTTGGGAGGCCAAAGCGGGCAGATCACTTGAGGTCAGGAGTTCGAGACCAGCCTGGCCAACATGGTGAAACCCTGTCTCTACTAAAAATAAAAATAAAAAAATTAGCCAGTGGTGGTGGCAGGCACCTGTAATCCCAGCTACTCTGGAGGCTGAGCCAGGAGAATCACCTGAACCCGGGAGGCAGAGAGGTTGCAGTGAACGGAGACCGCACCTGTGAACTCCAGTCTGGGCAACAGATCGAGACTCTATCTCAAAAAAAAAAGTGGTGGGGCACGGTGGCTCATGCCTGTAATCCCAGCACTTTGGGAGGCCGAGTTGGGCAGATCATGAGGTCAGGAGATCTAGACCGTCTCAGCTAACACGGTGAAACCCCCCATCTCTACTAAAAATACAGAAAAATAGCCAGGTCGGGTGGCGGACTCCTGTAGTCCCAGCGACTCAGGAGGCTGAGGCAGGAGAATGGCGTGAACCCGAGAGGCACAGCTTGCAGTGAGTCAAGATCACGCCACTGCACTCCAGCCTGGGCGACAGTGTGAGACTGTCTCAAAAAAAAAAAAAAAAAAGTGTCAACAAAGCCATGTTCCCTCTGAAGGCTACAGGGAAGACTCCTTCCTTCTGGTGGCTCCAGACAGTCCTTGGCATTCTTTGGCTGTATCACTCCAGGCTCTTCCTCTGTCTTCACATGGCCTTCCCTGTGTGTCTCTCTGTGTCCTCTCCTCTTAATAAAACAGTCGTTGGATTTAGGGCCCAACATCATCCAGCACGATCTCATCTTAATTACATCTGCAAAGACCCTATTTCCAAATAAGGTCACATTCTGAGCTTCTGTGCAAACATGAATTTTGGGGCAATATACTATTCAGTCCATTACAGACATGGCGAGGAACTAACATCTCTTACCAGCTGCCAGTGAGTACCTAAGGACTACCCACACATACATGAGCTTAGAAAGGATACTCACCAAATTGAGCCTTTAGCTGATGGCATCCCCAGCCCACAACTTGATCGTGGCCCCGTGAGAGACTATGCCAGGCGCACCCAGCCAAGCCATACCCAAACTCCCGACCCACAGAAACAGACTTTTAAATGTTTTTTAAAGTACTAAATTTGGCCGGGCACAGTGGTTCACGCCTGTAATCCCAGCACTTTGGGAGGCCGAGGTGGGTGGATCACTTGAGGCCAGGAGTTTAAGACTAGTCTGACCAATATGGTGAAACCCCATCTCTACTAAAAGTACAAAAATTAGCCGGGCGTGATGGCGCCTGCCTGTAATCCCAGCTACTCAGGAGGCTGAGGCAGGAGAATCGCTTGAACCCGGGAAGCAGAGGTTGCAGTGAGCCAAGATCACACCACTGCACTCCAGTCTGGGCGACAGAGCAAGACTGTCTCCAAAAA
Source organism: Homo sapiens (assembly GCF_000001405.40). NCBI lineage: Eukaryota > Metazoa > Chordata > Mammalia > Primates > Hominidae > Homo > Homo sapiens. The sequence goes on along the minus strand of NC_000012.12, from coordinate 111,836,981 downwards.
ATTTTTTAAAATTAAAAAATTAAAAATAAATAAGGTTGGGCACCGTGGCTCACGCCTGTAATCCCAGCACTTTGGGAGGCCAAGATGGGTGGATCACGAGGTCAGGACTGGCCTGGCCAATATGGTGAAACCCCGTCTCTACTAAAAATACGATTACTCAGGCATGGTAGTGTGTCCGGAATTGGTGGGTTCTTGGTCTCACTGACTTCAAGAATGAAGCTGTGGACCCTCGCGGTGAGTGTTACAGTTCTTAAAGGTGGCGTGTCCGGAGTTTGTTCCTTCTGATGTTCGGATGTGTTCCGAGTTTCTTCCTTCTGGTGGGTTTGTGGTCTCTCTGGCTTCAGGAGTGAAGCTGCAGACCTTCGCGGTGAGTGTTACAGCTCATAAAGGCAGTGTGGACCCAAAGAGTGAGCAGCAACAAGATTTATTGCAAAGAGCAAAAGAACAAAGCTTCCACAGTGTGGAAGGGGACCCAAGCAGGTTGCCACTGCTGGCTCCGGCAGCCTGCTTTTATTCTCTTATCTGGCTCCACCCACATCCTGCTGATTGATCCATTTTACAGAGAGCTGAGTGGTGGTCTGTTTTGACAGGGTGTTGATTGGTGCGTTTACAATCCCTGAGCTAGACACAAAGGTTCTCCACCTCTCCACTAGATTAGCTAGATACAAAGTGTCCACACAAAGGTTCTCCAAGTCCCCACCAGAGCAGCTAGATACAGAGTGTCGATTGGTGCATTCACAAACCCTGAGCTAGACACAGGGTGCTGATTGGTGTGTTTACAAACCTTGAGCTAGATACAGAGTGCCAATTGGTGTATTTACAATCCCCTAGCTAGACATAAAGGTTCTCCAAGTCCCCACCAGTCAGGAGCCCAGCTGGCTTCACCCAGTGGATCCTGCACCCGGGCCGCAGGTGGAGCTGCTTGCCAGTCCAGTGCCGTGCGCCCGCACACCTCAGCCCTTGGGTGGTTGATGGGACTGGGTGCCGTGGAGCAGGGGGTGGTGCTCGTCGGGGAGGCTCGGGCCACACAGGAGCCCAGGGAGTGGGGGGAGGTTCAGGCATGGGGGGCTGCAGGTCCAGAGCCCTGCCCCGACGGGAGGCAGCTAAGGCCCGGCGAGAAATCGAGTACAGCACTGGTGGGCCGGCACTGCTGGGGGACCCAACACACCCTCTGCAGCCACTGGCCCGTGTGCTAAGCCCCTCATTGCCGGGGCCGGCAGGGCTGGCCGGCCACTCCAAGTGTGGGGACTGCCAAGCCCACGCCCACCTGGAACTCCAGCTGGCCCGCAAACCCCGCGCGCAGCCCGGGTTCCTGCTCGCGCCTCTCCCTCCACACCTCCCTGAAAGCTGAGGGAGCCAGCTCCGGCTTTGGCCAGCCCAGAAAGGGGCTCCCACAGTGCAGTGGTGGGCTGAAGGGCTCCTCAAGTGCCACCAAAGTGAGAGCCCAGGCAGAGGAGGCGCCAAGAGTGAGCGAGGGCTGCAAGGGCTGCCAGCACACTGTCACCTCTCAGTAGTGCGTGCCTGTAATCCCAGCTACTCGGGAGGCTGAGGCAGGAGAATTGCTTGAACCCGGGAGGCAGAGGTTGCAGTGAGCTGAGATCACACCATTGCACTCCAGCCTGGGTGACAGGGCAAGACTCTGTCTCAAGAAAAAAAGAACAGATGGGGAGGAGGAGCCAAGATGGCCGAATAGGAACAGCTCCGGTCTACAGCTCCCAGCATGAGCACCGCAGAAGACGAGTGATTTCTGCATTTCCATCTGAGATACTGGGTTCATCTCACTAGGGAGTGCCAGACAGTGGGCGCAGGACAGTGGGTGTAGTGCACCATGCGCCAGCCGAAGCAGGGTGAGGCATTGCCTCACTCAGGAAGCACAAGGGGTCAGGGAGTTCCCTTTCCTGGTCAAGGAAAGGGGTGACAGACAGCGCCTGGAAAATCGGGCCACTCCCACCCGAATATTGCGCTTTTCCGACGGGCTTAGGAAACGGCGCACCAGGAGATTGTACCCCGCACCTGGCTCGGAGGGTCCTATGCCCAAGGAGTCTCGCTGATTGCTAGCACAGCAGTCCGAGATCAAACTGCAAGGCAGCAGGGAGGCTGGGGGAGGGGTGCCCGCCATTGCCCAGGCTTACTTAGGTAAACAAAGCAGCCAGGAAGCTCGAACTGGGTGGAGCCCACCACAGCTCAAGGAGGCCTGCCTGCCTCGGTAGGCTCCACCTCTGGGGGCAGGGCACAGACAAAAAGACAGCAGTAACCTCTGCAGACTTAAATGTCCCTGTCTGACAGCTTTGAGGAGAGCAGTGGTTCTCCCAGCACGCAGCTGGAGATCTGAGAAGGGGCAGACTGCCTCCTCAAGTGGGTCCCTGACCCCTGACCCCCAAGCAGCCTAACTGGGAGGCACCCCCCAGTAGGGGCAGACTGACACCTCACACGGCCGGGTACTCCTCTGAGACAAAACTTCCAGAGGAACGATCAGACAACAGCATTCACGGATCACGAAAATCCACGGTTCTGCAGACACCGCTGCTGATACCCAGGCAAACAGGGTCTGGAGTGGACCTCTAGCAAACTCCAACAGACCTGCAGCTGAGGGTCCTGTCTGTTAGAAGGAAAACTAACAAACAGAAAGGACATCCATACCAAAAACCCATCTGTACATCACCATCATCAAAGACCAAAAGTAGATAAAACCACAAAGATGGGGAAAAAACAGAGCAGAAAAACTGGAAACTCTAAAAAGCAGAGCACCTCTCCTCCTCCAAAGGAACGCAGTTCCTCACCAGCAACAGAACAAAGCTGGATGGAGAATGACTTTGACGAGTTGAGAGAAGAAGGCTTCAGATGATCAAACTACTCCGAGCTACAGGAGGAAATTCAAACCAAAGGCAAAGAAGTTGAAAACTTTGAAAAAATTTTGGACGAATGTATAACTAGAATAACCAATAAAGAGAAGTGCTTAAAGGAGCTGATGGAGCTGAAAGCCAAGGCTTGAGAACTACGTGAAGAATGCAGAAGCCTCAGGAGCCGATGTGATCAACTGGAAGAAAGGGTATCAGTGATGGAAGATGAAATGAATGAAACGAAGCGAGAAGGGAAGTTTAGAGAAAAAAGAATAAAAAGAAATGAACAAAGCCTCCAAGAAATATGGGACTATGTGAAAAGACCAAATCTGCGTCTGATTGGTGTACCTGAAATTGACAGGGAGAATGGAACCAAGTTGGAAAACACTCTGCAGGATATTATCCAGGAGAACTTCCCCAATCTAGCAAGGCAGGCCAACATTCAGATTCAGGAAATACAGAGAACACCACAAAGATACTCCTCGAGAAGAGCAACTCCAAGACACATAATTGTCAGATTCACCAAAGTTGAAATGAAGGAAAAAATGTTAAGGGCAGCCAGAGAGAAAGGTCGGGTTACCCACAAAGGGAAGCCCATCAGACTAACAGCGGATCTCTTGGCAGAAACTCTACAAGCCAGAAGAGAGTGGGGGCCAATATTCAACATTCTTAAAGAAAAGAATTTTCAACCCAGAATTTCATATCCAGCCAAACTAAGCTTCATAAGCGAAGGAGAAATAAAATCCTTTACAGACAAGCAAATGCTGAGAGATTTCATCACCACCAGGCCTGCCCTAAAAGAGCTCCCGAAGGAAGCACTAAACATGGAAAGGAAAAACTTGTACCAGCCACTGCAAAATCATGCCAAAATGTAAAGACCATCGAGACTAGGAAGAAACTGCATCAACTAACGAGCAAAATAACCAGCTAACATCATAATGACAGGATCAAATTCACACATAACAATATTAACTTTAAATGTAAATGGACTAAATGCTCCAATTAAAAGACACAGACTGGCAAGTTTGATAAAGAGTCAAGACCCATCAGTGTGCTGTATTCAGGAAACCCATCTCATGTGCAGAGACACATATAGGGTCAAAATAAAAGGATGGAGAAAGATCTACCAAACAAATGGAAAACAAAAAAAGGCAGGGGTTGCAATCCTAGTCTCTGATAAAACAGACTTTAAACCAACAAAGATCAAAAGAGACAAAGAAGGCCATTACATAATGGTAAAGGGATCAATTCAACAAGAAGAGCTAACTATCCTAAATATATATGCACCCAATACAGGAGCACCCAGATTCATAAAGCAAGTCCTGAGTGACCTACAAAGAGACTTAGACTCCCAAGCAATAATAATGGGAGACTTTAACACCCACTGTCAACATTAGACAGATCAACAAGACAGAAAGTTAACAAGGATACCCAGGAATTGAACTCAGCTCTGCACCAAGCGGACCTAATAGACATCTACAGAACTCTCCACCCCAAATCAACAGAATATACATTTTTTTCAGCACCACGCCACACCTATTCCAAAATTGACCATATAGTTGGAAGTAAAGCTCCCCTCAGCAAATGTAAAAGAACAGAAATTATAACAAACTGTCTCTCAGACCACAGTGCAATCAAACTAGAATTCAGGATTAAGAAACTCACTCAAAACCGCTCAACTACATGGAAACTGAACAACCTGCTCCTGAATGACTACTGAGTACATAACGAAATGAAGGCAGAAATAAAAATGTTCTTTGAAACCAACAAGAACAAAGACACAACATACCAGAATCTCTGGGACACATTCAAAGCAGTGTGTAGAGGGAAATTTATAGCACTAAATGCCCACGAGAGAAAGCAAGAAAGATCCAAAATTGACACCCTAACATCACAATTAAAAGAACTAGAAAAGCAAGAGCAAACACATTCAAAAGCTAGCAGAAGGCAAGAAATAACTAAAATCAGAGCAGAACTGAAGGAAATAGAGACACAAAAACCCTTCAAAAAATTAATGAATCCAGGAGCTGGTTTTTTGAAAGGATCAACAAAATTGATAGACCGCTAGCAAGACTAATAAAGAAAAAAAGAGAGAAGAATCAAATAGACGCAATAAAAAATGATAAAGGGGATATCACCACCGATCCCACAGAAATACAAACTACCATCAGAGAATACTACAAACACCTCTACGCAAATAAACTAGAAAATCTAGAAGAAATGGATACATTCCTCGACACATACACTCTCCCAAGACTAAACCAGGAAGAAGTTGAATCTCTGAATAGACCAATAACAGGAGCTGAAATTGTGGCAATAATCAATAGCTTACCAACCAAAAAGAGTCCAGGACCAGATGGATTCACAGCCGAATTCTACCAGAGGTACAAGGAGGAACTAATACCATTCCTTCTGAAACTATTCCAATCAATAGAAAAAGAGGGAATCCTCCCTAACTCATTTTGTGAGGCCAGCATCATCCTGATACCAAAGCCGGGCAGAGACACAACCAAAAAAGAGAATTTTAGACCAATATCCTTGATGAACATTGATGCAAAAATCCTCAATAAAATACTGGCAAACCAAATCCAGCAGCACATCAAAAAGCTTATCCACCATGATCAAGTGGGCTTCATCCCTGGGATGCAAGGCTGGTTCAATATATGCAAATCAATAAATGTAATCCAGCAGATAAACAGAACTAAAGACAAAAACCACATGATTATCTCAATAGATGCAGAAAAGGCCTTTGACAAAATTCAACAACCCTTCATGCTAAAAACTCTCAATAAATTAGGTATTGATGGGACATATCTCAAAATAATAAGAGCTATCTATGACAAACCCACAGCCAATATCATACTGAATGGGCAAAAACTGGAAGCATTCCCCTTGAAAACTGGCAAAAGACAGGGATGCCCTCTCTCACCACTCCTATTCAACATAGTGTTGGAAGTTCTGGCCAAGGCAATTAGGCAGGAGAAGGAAATAAAGGGTATTCAATTAGGAAAAGAGGAAGTCAAATTGTCCCTGTTTGCAGACGACATGATTGTATATCTAGAAAACCCCATTGTCTCAGCCCAAAATCTCCTTAAGCTGATAAGCAAGTTCAGCAAAGTCTCAAGATACAAAATCAATGTACAAAAATCACAAGCATTGTTATACACCAGTAACAGACAAACAGAGAGCCAAATCATGAGTGAACTCCCATTCACAATTGCTTCAAAGAGAATAAAATACTTAGGAATCCAACTTACAAGGGATGTGAAGGACCTCTTCAAAGAGAACTACAAACCACTGCTCAATGAAATAAAAGAGGATACAAACAAATGGAAGAACATTCCATGCTCATGGATAGGAAGAATCAATATTGTGAAAATGGCCATACTGCCCAAGGTAATTTATAGATTCAATGCCATCCCCATCAAGCTACCAATGACTTTCTTCACAGAATTGGAAAAAACTACTTTAAAATTCATATGGAACCAAAAAAGAGCCCGCATTGCCAAGTCAATCCTAAGCCAAAAGAACAAAGCTGGAGGCATCACGCTACCTGACTTCAAACTATACTACAAGGCTACAGTAACCAAAACAGCATGGTACTGGTACCAAAACAGAGATATAGATCAATGGAACAGGACAAAGCTCTCAGAAATAATGCCACAGATCTACAACTATCTGATCTTTGACAAACCTGAGAAAAACAAGCAATGGGGAAAGGATTTCCTATTTAATAAATGGTGCTGGGAAAACTGGCTAGCCATATGTAGAAAGCTGAAACTGGATCCCTTCCTTACACCTTATACAAAAATTAATTCATGATGGGTTAAAGACTTAAACATTAGACCTAAAACCATAAAAACCCTAGAAGAAAACCTAGGCATTACCATTCAGGACATAGGCATGGGCAAGGACTTCATGTCTAAAACACCAAAAGCAATGGCAACAAAAGCCAAAATTGACAAATGGGATCTAATTAAACTAAAGAGCTTCTGCACAGCAAAAGAAACTACCATCAGAGTGAACAGGCAACCTACAAAATGGGAGAAAATTTTCGCAACCTACTCATCTGACAAAAGACTAATATCCAGAATCTACAATGAACTCAAACAAATTTACAAGAAAAAAACAAACAATCCCATCAAAAAGTGGGCAAAGGATATGAACAGACACTTCTCAAAAGAAGACATTTATGCAGCCAACAGACACATGAAAAAATGCTCATCATCACTGGCCATCAGAGAAATGCAAATCAAAACCACAACGAGATACCATCTCACACCAGTTAAAATGTCAATCATTAAAAAGTCAGGAAACAACAGGTGCTGGAGAGGATGTGGAGAAACAGGAACATGTTTACACTGTTGATGGGACTGTAAACTAGTTCAAGCATTGTGGAAGTCAGTGTGGCGATTCCTCAGGGATCTAGAACTAGAAATACCATTTGACCCAGCCATCCCATTACTGGGTATATACGCAAAGGACTATAAATCATGCTGCTATAAAGACACATGCACAAGTATGTTTATTGTGGCACTATTCACAATAGCAAAGACTTGGAACCAACCCAAATGTCCAACAATGATAGACTGGATTAAGAAAATGTGGCACATATACACCATGGAATACTATGCAGCCATAAAAAATGATGAGTTCATGTCCTTTGTAGGGACATGGATGAAATTGGAAATCATCATTCTCAGTAAACTATCGCAAGGACAAAAAACCAAACACCGCATGTTCTCACTCATAGATGGGAATTGAACAATGAGAACACATGGACACAGGAAGGGGAACATCACACTCTGGGGACTGTTGTGGGGTGGGGGAGGGGGGAGGGATAGCATTAGGAGATATACCTGATGCTAAATGATGAGTTAATGGGTGCAGCACACCAGCATGGCACATGTATACATATGTAACTAACCTGCACATTGTGCACATGTACCCTAAAACTTAAAGTATAATAATAATAATAATAATAAAAAGAAAAAAAGAACAGACAGGATCAATATGTGGGCTACAGGCTGGGTGCGGTGGCTCACGCCTGTAATTCCAGCACTTTGGCAGGCTGAGGCGGGTGGATCACTTGAGGTCAGGAGTTTGAGATCAGCTTGGCCAACATGGAGAAACCCTGACTCCACTAAAAATACAAAAATTAGCCAAGTGTGGTGGCATGCACCTATCATCAAAATAAATAAATAAATAAGCAGATTCTGATTCCTTAGGTGTGGGGTGGGGCCTGAGATTCTGTATTGCTAAGAAGCTGCCGAGTGATGTAAGTGCTGCTGCTCAGTCTAGGACCATACTTTGAGGAGCGGCTGTCAACACCTCCACGGTTCCTGTCACTCAACAGCCCCTACTTAAGGGATAGGCCTTGCTTCATGTGGGTGCCATGTGACCCCATCCCCTGGCCATAGCTGACTGGCCCAGGAATGGCCATCTGACCCAAGCTGGGCCCTTCAGAGGCTCCTGGGAAGTGAGACTGGAACATTATGCCAATTGTGGGTGGCTGTGGACACAGAGAGGTCGTTTTGTCCCAGGCTGAGGCAGTCCTTATCTGCCTCGGGAAATGGAAGCAGTGAGGCTTTGGAGAGGCCAGAAGGAGCAGCCTCCCAGCTCAGAGAGACTCGGCCCTGCCTCCCATTCCTCACTGCACTAACTGTCCCTTGTCCTTCCCAGGTGTACCCCTATTGCCTGATGGTTGTGTCACCGGTGGAGGGTGTCCAGGTTCTTGGTGTCTTGAACAAAAAATTGGACAAAACGCACAAAGCAAGGAAAGAAATGAAGAAAATTATTGAAAATGAAAGTATACTCCACAGTGTGGTAGCAGGCTGAGCATAGGGGCTCAAGGGCCCCATTACAGAATGTTTTGGGGTTTAAATACCCTCTAGAAGTTTCCATCAGTTCCTTGGTATATGTCCTACATAAATGAAGAGGATGAAGTAGAGCTACAAAGTCATTTACTTGGTGTACGCCATATGTAAATAAAGAGGATGAAGTAAAGTTACAAGGTCATTTACTCAGTGTACACCCTATGTAAAAGAAGAGAATGAAGTAAAGTTACAAAGTCATTTACTCGGTGTACGCCCTATGTAAATGGAGAGGATATTTTCTGTCATAGCTGAAGTGTGAATTGGGCTTATGTTCCCTGCCTCCAGACCATATTTTCGTGGCTCAGTTGGAGTGATGTCTCATCCTTCTGAATTCTGCCAAGCTGTCACAGGTTTTTCTCAGGCCATCTTCATTGGTTGAAGTTCACAACAACAGTGCTCTTCTCTAACGTCACACGCTTGGCCAATTGTGCTCTTGGATTAAGTTCTTAGTTGTGAATGCCTGCCAGAAAGGTTGTGCCTTCTGGGCACCTTGGCTCACACCTGTAATCTTGGCACTCTGGAAGGCCAGGAGTTCAAGACCAGCCTGAGTAACACAGCAAGACCTTATCTCAATAAAATAAATAAAAAGATTGGGCACGGTGGCTCACACTTGTAATCCCAGCACTTTGGGAGGCTGAGGCGGGCGGATCACCTGAGGTCAGGAGTTTGAGACCAGCCTGGCCAACATGCAGAAACCCGGTCTCTACTAAAAATACAAAAATTAGCTGGGCATGGTGGTACACGCCTGTAGTCCCAGCTACTCAGGAGGCTGAGGCAGGAGAATCATTTGAAACTGGGAGGCAGAGGTTGCAGTGAGCCGAGATTGTGCAAGTGCACTCCAGCTGGGGCAACAAGAGGGAAAATCCATCTCAAAAAAAAATAAATAAAATAATAAATAAATAACAAAATTTAAAAATAATACTATAAATGATAATAATAAAGGTTGCATCACATTATGTTTTCCTAGTAGTATGAGAGCATGCCCTGCTTTCTGACCTGTTTCTGTTCCTCAAATATAGCAAAACTGGACAGTCTGTGAATGGAAAGTTCTAGCATCTGCTGACCTGACTCAGCTCAAATCCTTCAGACCTCTGAGCTGGAAGGGGCCCAGAGGTCTCCAAGGCCAGCCTCACTCAGGTGCAGCATCCATGCTGGGGCTTTGTGGGCCGGCTGGAGTACTCAGTGGTTGCTAACTGGCTCCTGTCTCCCCTCTCAGAGCTCACAGAATAAATATCATCCCTCTCCTGGGACAGCTTTTTAGGTATCTCACGTGGTGGTCATTTCCTTAAAAATTTTGTTATTCTGAGAAACAATGCATAGCATAAAATGTACCAGCCTAACCATTTCTTTTTTCTTTGAGATGGAGTCTTGCTCTGTCACCTAGGCTGGCGTGCAATGGTGCAATCTCGGCTCACTGCAACCTCCGCCTCCTGGGTTCAAGCGATTCTCCTGCCTCAGCCTCCTGAGTAGCTGGGATTACAGGCACCCACCACCATGCCCAAGTAATTTTTTGTATTTTTAGTAGAGACGGGATTTCACCATGTTGACCAGGCTGGTCTCAAACTCCTGACCTCAGATGATCCACCCTCCTCTGCCTCCCAAAGTACTGGGATTACAGGCATAAGCCACCGTGCCCAGCTTCATCCTAACGATTTCTAAGAGTACAATTCAGTAACGTTAAGTATATCCACACTGTTGTGCAGCCAGTCTCAAGAACTTTTTCATGTTGCAAAACTGAAACTCTATACCCACTGAACAACTCCACATGGTAGCCTTGTAAAGCTGCTGAGGAGGCATGATTCCAAAGAATTTTAATATCTCATTTCACAATGATTATTCTCACTTTACAGCTGAGAAAAAAAGACAGTGTGTTAGTCTGTTTTGCATTGCTATAAAAGAATACCTGAAGCTGGGTAATTTTTTATTTTTATTTTTTTGAGACAGGGTCTGGCTCTGTTGCCTAGGCTGGAATGCAGTGGCACGATCTTGGCCCACTGCAACCTCTGCTTCCTGGGTTCAAGCAATTCTCATGCCTCAGCCTCCTGGGTAGCTGGGATTACAGGCATGCCCTACCATGCCTGGCTAATTTTTGTATTTTTATTAGAGATGGGGTTACACCATGTTGGTCAGGCTGGTCTCGAACTCTTGACCTCAGTAATCCACCTACCTCGGCCTCCCAAAGTGCTGGGATTACAGATGTGAGCCACCATGCCCAGCTGTGAAGCAGAGTAATTTATAAAGAAACGAGATTGATTTGGCTCATGGTTCTGCAGGCTGTACAAGCACAGCACTAGCATCTGTTCTGTTTCCGGTGAAGCCTCAGGAAGCTTAGAAAGCCTGTCAGAAGGCAAAGGGGGAGCTGGCATATCCGATGGCAGGAGGGAGCAAGAGAGATGCCAGGCTCCTTTTCATAGAGAGCTGAATGCCCGTGGGTCGTGACCAACTCAGCATTCCACTGAGGCTATATGATCAAACAGCAAACTGTTTATCATGAATGCAGAATGTGAGCAAACTTGCTTCTGCTCCAGCCACCAGAAGGTTTGCTGAGGGCAATCACTCCCCGGCACTGTATGCCTTGAGGTTATCTACTGGGACATCCAGAGCCTACTGTTCAAATAATGCAGTCTTGCAAGCCTGCTGTAAATCAAGCTGCTGACCACCAACCACCCCCCACCCTTCTCCCTATCTCCTTTACCCAATAAATACAAAGGGCTCTAAAGCTCAGGGCCCTTGTTCACTAGAAGCAAGGAGCCCCCGACCATGTCTTCCAAATATGCTTTTTTGTCTTTATCTTTATTCTCGCATTCGTCCCCCTTTGTTCAGTCCACCAAGGTCCATTCACGCATCAAAGTGGCACCCCAGAACAGGGACTCTGAGGACATGAACGAAGAAGGTCTGCTGAAGCAGAGAAGCTGAAATTGACAAGACGAATGGGGACACTGGGATGAGTCCACTGGCAGCAGATATAAGGTCAGTGCCCTAACGAGGTACTGGGAGCAATATAAGGTCAGTGCTCTCTTAAAGAAGTACTGGGTCCCAGCACTTTGGGAGGCCGAGGTGGGCAGATCACGAGGTCAGGAGATCGAGACCATCCTGGCTAACACGGTGAAACCCCGTCTTTACTAAAAAATACAAAAAAATAGCTGGGCGTGGTGGCGGGCGCCTGTAGTCCCAGCTACTCGGGAGGCTGAGGCAGGAGAATGGTGTGAACCTGGGAGGTGGAGCTTGCAGTGAGCCGAGATCGCACCACTGCACTCCAGCCTGGGTGACAGAGCGAGACACCATCTCAAAAAAAAAAAAAAAAAAAAAGAAGTACTGGGAATGGGAATTTTTCTGAATCAGGTAACATGGGGCAGAATTTGTCTGTTGAAAAAAAAAACGTGCAGTTGCTTAAAGTTTTGTTGAAACAATCTGGTGCTCAGGTTAATTCTCAGACATTAACTAAGATGCTGCAGGAGGTTATTACGCATAACCCATGGTTTCCACAGGCAGGCACTCCTGATGTAGAAAATTGGCACAGAGCAGGAGAAGGATTAAAACAGGCTCATCAAAAAGGTCTTAAAGTTGATTCTTCTGCTTTCTCCACTAGGAGTTTAGTTCATACTGTCCTTCTGCCATTATATCCTTTTTATTCTGCTGGACAGCAGGAGTCATGTTCTGAGTCTAAAAATCTGAAAGAATCTGTTGTCCCACCCACAGCACCAATTGAAAATAAAAAACAGGAGAGGGAGGATAAAAATTGGCCTATACCGCCCCCTCCAGTTGCAGAAACATCTGTACCGCCTCCTTCAGTAGCCGAAATAGAGACCTCAATACAAAGAATTTTATGCTCTGCTGCCTGCACTTTTCCTATTTCCATAAGGCCTGATCCAAACAATCCACAGCAGTTTATTCATGAACACACCCCACTAGAGTTTACGTTGTTGAAGGAATGAAAAATTAAGTGTAATTAATAATGGGATACAGAGCCCATTCACCTTAGGATTGCTAGAATCTGTATTTGGTGCTATGCGCCTTCTACCCTTTGATGTAAAACATTTGGCTTGCACTTGTTTGTCTGCTACTGCATACCTGACTTGGAATTTAAATTGGCAAGAAATGTGTGCAGACCAGGCTAGACAGAATCATGCTTCTGGACACGGAGACATTACAGAGGGTATGCTGTTAGGTAATGGCCCTTTATTCAGACCTGGAATGTCAAATGGCACTCCCAGATCCTGCTTATCAGCAGTGTGCACAGGCTGCTAAACACGCCTGGGCCACAATTCCAGAAGAGAGAGTCCCAGTACAATCCTTTTTACATCTCATGCAAGGGTCACAGGAACCCTATGTGCAATTTCTTGCAAGATTACAAGAGGCAGTGAAGCATCAAATTCCTCATACCGCTGCCACAGAAATGCTAACCTTAACTTTAGCTTTTGAGAATGCAAACGCAGATTGTAAACGTGCACTGGCACCTGTGAGGTGTACAAAACTTGGGAAATTTTCTCAGAACTTGTCAGGATGTAGAAACTGAGCTTCATTGCTCTGCAATTTTAGCTCAAGCAATGGCTAATTTAGTAGTTGACAAATCTAAAAGGAGCCAACGGTCAAACCCTAAAGTGGGAAAATGTTATAATTGTGGAAAAACTGGACATTTTAAAAAGGAATGCTGCCTGATCTCAGGGCAGAAAGGACCTTATAATGTGGTGCCCTCCACCCCCCTGGCCCAGCGGAAAAAAACGCCAGGACTCTGTCCTCACTGTAACAAAGGAAATCACTGGGCTATTCAATGCCGCTCAAAATTTCATCAAAACTGCAACCACCTGTCAGGAAACGAGAAGGGGGCCTGGACCCGGGCCCCTCAAACAATGAGGGCATTCCCAGTTCAGACCACAACCCCACTTCAGGGGTGGGTCCCAGGAGGAACATTGATTCCCTCACCCCAGGAACACCAGGAAGTGCAGGATTAGATCTTCCAGTCAGAGAAAGAATTACATTAATTGGTGGAGACAAACCTATCAAAGTTCCCATTGGCATTTGGGGACCTTTACCAGCAGGATACATAGACTAATTTTAGGCAAAAGCTGCCTTAACTTGCAAGGCATTACTGTAGTCCCAGGAGTAGCTGACTCTGATTATGAAGGAGAAATTCAAGTAGTTTTAATGTCACAAGATCTTTGGGTTTTTGAACCGGAAGAATATATTGCTCAATTATTGCTTATTCCCTGCAAATTACACCCTTCTCCATAAAAGGAGAAACGAGGAAATAAAGGGTTTGGGAGCACAACTACATGAGAAATCTATGTTCACAACCTATAGCTTATAATAGACCCACCTGTGTAGTACAAAGTAAAGGAAAGAAATTGTATGGGCTTATGGACACAGGAGCTGATGTGTCAGTAATATCCAGTAAGGACTGGCCCCCAGCATGGCCTCTCAGACTAACCTCCACATCCCTAGTGGGAGTAGGAGCAGCTAAAAGTGTTCAACAGAGTGCTGAGATTTTACCTTGTCTTGGTCCGGATGGACAATCATGTACTTTCCAGCCTTATGATGCAAATATAGCTATCAATTTATGGGGTCAAGAATTACTTACAGCATGGGATATGAGACTTACAAATGAAAACTTTCATAACCCAGGATTTAAAATGTTGAAGGACATGGGATATCAGAGTGGAAAAGGTTTAGGGAAATTCCTACAAGGAAACCCTAACCCGATATCTATAACTGGAGAAACAGAAAAGGGCAAGGATGTCAGGATTTCTGATGGGGATCATTGATATTTCTCCTCGACCCACTGCCTTACCATTAGAATGGCTTTGTGACAAACCTATGTGGGTGGATCAATGGCCCCTAACACAGGAGAAGCTAGATCAACTTCATCTGTTGGTAAAAGAACAATTGAATGCAGGACATATAGAGAAGTCAGCCCCTGGAATTCACCGGTATTTGTTATTCCAAAAAAGTCTGGAAGATGGTGACTACTGCATGATTTGAGAGTTATTAATGCGCAAATTAAACCAATGGGTGCCTTACAGCAAGGTTTACCTTCCCCAGCAGCCATTCCAAGAGACAGGCCTCTTGTAGGAATAGATCTTAAGGATTGTTTCTTTACTATACCATAACACGAGAAGGATAAGCCTCAATTTGCCTTCTCTGTGTCTTCTATTAATCATAGAGAACCTGTTTCTCACTATCAATGGAAAGTTTTACCTCAAGGCATGCTTAACAGTCCTACATTATGTCAGCATTTTGTGGGAAGAGCATTAAAGGAGCCTTGAAATATGTTTCCCACTGTGTATATCATTCATTTTATGGATGATATTCTTTTGGCCGCTCCTACAGATCAAATTTTACATCAGTTATTCAGAGAAACAAAACAGGCTTTAATTAAATGGAATCTCAAAATTGCTCCAGAGAAAGTGCAAACAACTTCCCCATACTAATACTTAGGAACTATTGTTATGGAGGGGAGTGTACTGTTGCAGGAAGTCAGGGACCCCAAACAGAGGGACTGGCTGAAGCCATGGCAGAAGAATGTGGATTGTGAAGATTTTATGGACATTTATTAGTTCCCCAAATTAATACTTTTGTAATTTCTTATGCCTGTCTTTACTGCAATCTCTAAACATAAGTTGTAAAGATTTCATGGACACTTATCACTTCCCCAGTCAATACCTTTGTGCTTTCCTATGCCTGTCTTTACTTTAATCTCTTAATCCTGTCCACTGAGGAGGATGTATGTCACTTCAGGACCATGTGATAATTGCATTAACTGCACAAATTGTACAGCATGTGTGTTTGAGCAATATGAAATGTGGGCACCTTGAAAAAAGAACAGGATAACAGCAATTGTTCAGGGAACAAGAGAGATAATCTTAAACTCTGACCGCTGGTGAGCTGGGCAGAACAGAGCCATATTTCTCTTCTTTCAAAAGCAAATGGGAGAAATATCACTGAATTCTTTTTCTCAGCATGGAACATCCCTGAGAAAGAGAATACGCACCTGGAGGTATAGGCTTATAAACAGCCCCCCCAGGTGCACCTGTCTCTTATGGTTGAGGCTGCAGAGATGAAATAGATTCCAGTCTCCCATAGTGCTCCCAGGCTTCTTAGGAAGAGGAAATTCCCGCCTAATAAATTTTGGTCAGAAGGTTGATCTCAAAACCCTGTCTCCTGATAAGATGTTATCAATGACAATGGTGCCCGAAACTTCATTAGCAATTTTAATTTCGCCTTGGTCCTGTGGTCATGTGATCTCACCCTGCCTCCACTCACCTTGTGATATTCTATTACCCTGTTAAGTACTTGATGTCTGTCACCCACACCTATTCGCACACTCCCTCCCCTTTTGAAACTCCCTAATAAAAACTTGCTGGTTTCTGCGGCTTGTGGGGCATCACGGAACCTACCGACATGTGATGTCTCCCCCGGATGCCCAGCTTTAAAATTTCTCTCTTTTGTACTCTGTCCCTTTATTTCTCAAGCTGGCCAATGCTTAGGAAAAATAGAAAAGAACCTACATGAATATCGGGGCAGGTTCCCCAATAGTGTACGGCCTCAGAAAGTAGTTCTCCATAAAGGCAGGTTACAGACTTTAAATGATTTTCAATAATTATTAGGAGATATAAATTGGCTGTGACCAATGCTAGGTATTGCAACTTATCAACTTACACATCTTTATCAAACCCTGCAAGGAGATTCTTCCTTAAATTCCCCACAGCAATTGACCAAAGAGGCAGAAGTGGAGTTACAACTTGTAGAGCAGATGCTACAGCAATGACATGCCTCATGGCTACAGCCACAAAAACCTTTGCTTTTGTTTGTTCTTCCTATCCCTCACTCTCCAACAGGACTTTTAGGCCAATGCTTAGACAAATCTGTAACCGTAATAGAATGGCTCTTTCTACCTAATCAGTCAAAACTTTGCAAGTCTATCTTTCTTTAATTACACAAATTGTGACTATGGGCAGGCATAGGTCAAAGATGCCTATGGGATATGATCCAGATAAAATTATTGTTCCTTTAGACTCTCAGCAACAGTCCACAGCTTGGGAAATGTCAACTGCCTGGCAAATCACTTTTGCAGACTTTGTGGGTGCCATAGACAACCACTATCCCTCAGACAAAGTTTTGCAGTTTTATAAAGTCCATTCTTTCATTCTTCCTGTGATTACTCATCACAAGCCTATTTCAGGTGGCCAGACTTATTTTACTGATGGCTCTTCTAAAGCTCATGCAGCTATTTATGGACCTAAACATACTCAAACAATAATGACCTCTGGGGTTTCAGCTCAGCGCTCAGACTTAATTGCAGTCATTCAGGTTTTACAGCTGACAGCTGCAGATCCTATCAACATTGTCTGTAATTCAACTTATGTTGTAAATGTAGCCAGTTGCATAGAAACTGCTACAATTAAAAATACACTAGACCCAGAACTGCTTAATTTGTTTCTAAGACTTCAAACAACTATTGGCTCTCCTTCATCTCCTTTTCATATTTCTCATATTCGCTCTCACACACAACTTCCTGGACCACTATCTCTAGGTAATGATAGAGCAGATAAACTGATTAGTTCTGTGTTTCAGCAAGCTCAAGCCTCTGCACCAAAGTACTTCTGCCCTACTCGCATGTTCCATTTCTCTCGCAGCCAAGCTAGGGCTATAATACAAGCCTGTCCTACTTGCCAGCATGTCCCTGGAGCCACACCTGTAGAAGGTTGTAACCCATGAGGTTTGGCTCCAAATGAAATCTGGCAAATGGATGTTACACATGTAGCAGCCTTTAGTAAACTTAGCTATGTTCACTAATTATAGACACTTATTCTCATATGCTGCATGCTACATGCCAAACAGGTGAGACAGCTGGTCATGTACGGCAACATTGTTTGTCATCATTTGCTCATATGGGGATAACTAAACAATTAAAACCTGACAATGGACCAGCTTATACTAGTCATGCTTTTCAAAATTCTTACAGCTTTGAGCTATAACCCATAAAAAAGGAATTATTATAATCCTAGAGGACAAGGAATTATAGAGTTGGCACATCAAACATTACAACACGTGTTGAAAAAACAGAAAGGGGCCAGGTGCGGTGGCTCATGCCTGTAATCCCAGCATTTTGGGAGGCCGAGGTGGGCAGATCATGAAGTCAAGAGATCGAGACCATCTAGCCAACATGGTGAAACCCCGTCTCTACTAAAAACACAAAAATTAGCTGGGCGTGGTGACGCGCACCTATAGTCCCAGCTACTTGGGAGGCTGAGGCAGGAAAATCACTTGAACCCAGGAGGTGGAGGTTGCAGTGAGCCAAGATCGTGCCATTGCACTCCAGCCTGGTGACAGAGCAAGACTCTGTCTCAAAAAAAAAAAAAAAAAAAAAAAAAAAAAAAGGGAAAAACAGAAAAGAGGGATAGGAGACCAGTTACACCTCAAACAAAACTACACTTAGCCTTATTTTCTTTAAATTTTTTTGACTCCTGGTACAGATGGTAAGACTCCAGCAGAAAGACATTGGCAAGTGTTAGAGGAAAAGAGGAAAGTTTATCCGAAAGTGTTATTGAAATCCCCCGGAAAAAAGACAATGGAAAGGTCTGTTGGATTTACTGACGTGGGGATGAGGGTATGCTTGTGTTTTTATGGGAGATGGACAAGCCGTGTGGGTGCCCTCAAGGTGCATGTGACCATGGAACGGGAGACTAGAGGAACCCAGGGTGGCCAACTATGGGCCTGGTCCCTCTGGTATGAGCCATGAGCCAGCTGAGCCAGAGTGCAAAGATGGAGAGAAGGCCGACCGGAGTCATGACGACATCAACCCCCATAACCTGGGGGCAACTCAAGAATACCACTCAGGAAGCTGGGAAACTACTGGAGCATCAGAGCCAGGCAAAACACCCTGATTCCATGTTCTTGGCCATGTTAGCCATAATGTCCTGTGTGGTATGTTTTCCCTGTGCAGAGGCAAAAACATTTTGGGCATATGTTCCCAATCCCCTAGTAGTACAACCTATGCTTTGGAGTGACACTCCTCCTGAGATTTATCGTGATCAGCAAGTATGGGCTCCAGGACCCCTAACTCCCCTTAAAATAGAACAGTTAGACTCTCAGAACAATGTCATTAATTATACCACCCCACTAGAAGGACTCCCCTTGTGTATCACTACAAAGACATCGCTTAACTGTAGCTGTCTTATAATTCAAGCTCAAGAATGGTTGAGTCATTATGGAAAAGTCATGTGCCTATTAAGTCTTGGTTCTATTAATGTAACAGGTGTGCTAACCAACCATTCCCGGCCCAATCACCCTAATCGTGCTGACTATATGGAATGGATTCCCTTCGATAGTTACTACCCCCCAAGACATGGACCCAATGTCTTGACCCACTGGCTAGAAAACAATCTATGTTAACTGGAGACATTGTGGATTGGGGACCTAAAGGTCAACTATATGGAAAACATGAAAATCAGAAATCATGGCACAAACTTCGCTGGCATTGGTGGCAAGATTTTAATGCTTCTTCTTTATACCACACCGGGATCTAATCCCAGTCTGCCACCCAGATTGCTTGACATGGAGCAGGCTTTAGCCCGCCTCTTCCTCAGTGGCATTATCTAGGGAGGAAAGGACCAATCCAAGAGATGTTATGGAAGGCAGCACTCCCATTTATGAATGGCGGGATACTATCCAGTGATAGCAATAGTAAGCAACACAGTCTTAATGTTACATTTGTAAAGAATATCACCACTCAATTTATGGTTTGTCTTTTTAATCCTTATGTCTTTTTTGGCAACTAAGAAGGACCAGCTCCAGGTAAACAATATCCAATTGACCTGTAAATCTTGCCAGTTATGTCACTGCATTAATCATAGCACATTGCAAACACATAATGTCTCTACTTTGATAATTTTGGGTCGCATCCCTGGGCTATGGATTCCTGTTAATCTGTCCCAGCCTTGGGCTACCACACCTGCTTTGCACTTCATGAAACATCTTCTAACTCAACTTACTCATTGTGCCCATAGAGCCTTAGGCATGATAATTTTTGCTATTGTTTCCTTGGTCACATTAATAACTTCCGTTGTGATGTCCTCTGTAGCTTTGCATAGTTCTATTCAAACAACTCAGTACATGGAAAACTGGATGCGTATAGCCAACCAAGCATGGCCACTTCAGAATAAAATTAACACTGAGTTACAAACTGAAGTGGCATTGTTGAAATCCACGGCTCTACAGTTAGGAGAACAAGTACAAAGCTTGCAATTGCAACAGCAATTGCACCATCATTTTAATCACACTCATATTTGTGTAACCAACTTAGAATATAACCAAAGTGAGTATCCATGGGACCTTGTGAAAGCCCATTTGCAGGGAGCTTGCACATCCAACATCACCTTTGATATCGGTGAATTACAAAACAAAATTCTTGATTTAAATAAACAAACTCAAGAGTTTCAGCCTTCTTTAGAAGACTAGACCAAATTCCAGCAAGGCCTGGAGAGCCTCAACCCTTGGACCTGTCTAAAGCACCACATTAACATCTTATATGTAGTCCTTGGAATAATGTTGTTTTGTCTCTGTCTTCTGTTCATAGTCTGTAAAATTGGATGGACTGCCAATCAGAAAATGAGAGCTGCCCAGCCTGGCCTTACATTCTTTCAATTAATTCATAAACAGAAAGGGGGAAATGTAGAGAGCTGAATGCCCATGGGTTGTGACCAACTCAGCATTCCACTGAGGCTATATGATCAAACAGCAAACTGTTTATCATAAATGCAGAATGTGGGCAAACTCACTTCTGCTTCAGCCGCCAGAAGGTTCGCTGAGGGCAATCACTCCCTGGCGCCATGCTCTTTGAGGTTATCTACTGAGACATCTAGAGCCTACTGTTCAAAGAATGCAATCTTGTGAGCCTGCTGTGAATCAAGCTGCTGACCGACAACCACCCCCCCTTCTCCCTATCTCCTTTACCCAATAAATACAAAGGGCACTAAAGCTCAGGGCCCTTTTTCACTAGAAGCAAGGAGCCCCCTGACCCCTTCTTCCAAATATACTCTTTGGTCTTTATCTTTATTGCTGTGTTCGTCCCCTTTTGTTCAGTCCAACAGGGATTAGGTCCACGTCACCTTTTAAACAACCAGCTCTTGAGTGAACTCATTACCATGGGGGAGGACACCAAGCCATTCATGAGGGATCCACCCCCATGATCCTAACACCTCACACCTTGCCCCACCTCCAACACTGAAGATTACATTTTAACATGAGATTTTGAGGGGATAAATATCCGTACTATCAGAGAGGTTACTTCAAATGTTCAGGTGCATGACATTTTGATATAGCTTTAAAAATAAGCTATTAGGGCTGTGCCCAGTGTCTCATGCCTGTAATCCTAGCACTTGAGAGGCCAAGCCAGCAGGATGACTTGAGGCCAGGAGTTCGAGACCAGCCTGAGCAACATAGCAAGACTCCATCTCTCTCTCTCTCTCTCAAAAAAAAAAAAAAATATATATATATATGCATGGTAGTGCACGCCTATAATCCCAGCTACTCAGGAGGCTGAGGTGGGAGGATCACTTGAGCCCAGAAGTTCAAGACCAGCCTAAACAACACAGTGAGACCCCATCTCTACAAAAAATAAGCCATTAGACTCTCAGGTTATTATTTTTATTATTGCCAGGTATCCTCACCCTTACTCCTGGCATGGAAGATACAGTAGGAGTCATAGATGGCTGTAGGTCAGGTGCTGTCTCATAAGTAAGCCATATCGCCAGGCATCACATCTATGCTCTCACTCTAATATATGTATATTGTAACCCCTTCTATGTGCCAAGGCAGGAGGATCACTTCAAGCCAGGAGCTGAAGACCAGCCTGAGCTACATAGTGAAACCCTGACTCTCCAAAAATAATTAGCTGACTGTGGTGGCACATGCTTGTAGTACCAGCTATTTGGGAGGCTGAGGCAGAAGAATCACCTGAGCCTAGGAGGTAGAGGCTGCAGTGAGCTATGATCGCACCACTGCACTCCAGCCTGGACGACGGAGTTAGACCCTGTCATTAAAAAATATAAAAAATGAAAATATTGTTAAGAAGCTCTTGAGAAGGCTCCAAGTACAGTTCCTGGCATGTAGTGGGTGCACAGTTAATACTTCTTGGGGCCACAGGATTGGGCATCAGATTTACATTTCACTGAAACTTTCTATACCATCTGCATCTATTTCCTTTTGAAAAATGTAAATAAAATCAATACAAATGAACAAATGTCAGCTCTGTTTTATCCTTCACAGAATAAGCCAAATGAGAGTTGGAAGTGACTGCAGAGATTGTGAGGAAATGGAAGCTCAGAAGTTGTGTGGTTTGTCCAAGTTCCCCTGACCAGCTCTGGGACCCTGTTTTTTTCAGTTGAGGTGAAATTCACATAACATAGCATTTACTTTTTTTTTTTTTTTTTTGAGACAGAGTCTCTCTGTGTCACCCATGGAGTGCAGTGGCACAATCTTGGCTAACCGCAACCTCTGCCTCCCAGGTTCAAGCGATTCTCCTGTCTCAGCCTCCCAAGTAGCTGGGCACATGCTACCAAGCCCAGCCAATTTTTTGTATTTTTAGCAGAGATGGGTTTTCATCATGTTGGCCAGGCTGATCTCGAACTCCTGGCCTCAGGTAATCCACCCGCCTCAGTATCCCAAAATGCTGAGATTACAGGCATGAGCCATGGCACCACCTGGCCACTTTTTTTTTTTTTTTTTTTTGAGACAGTCTCGTTCTGTCACCCAGGCTGGAGTGCAGTGGTGCGATCTTAGCTCACTGCAACCTCTGCCTCCCAGGTTCAACCAATTCTCCTGCCTCAGCCTCCTGAGTAGCTGGGATTACAGGTGCCAGCCACCATGCCCAGCTAATTTTTGTATTTTGGGTAGAGATGGGGTTTCTTTTTTTTTTTTTGGAGACAGAGTCTCACTCTGTCACCCAGGATAGAGTGCAGTGGCGCGATCTCGGCTCACTGCAAGCTCCGCCTCCTGGGTTCACACCATTCTCCTGCCTTAGCCTCCCGATCAGCTGGGACTACAGGCGCCCACCACCACGCCTGGCTAATTTTTTGTATTTTTAGTAGAGACGGGGTTTCACCGTGTTAGCCAGGATGGTCTCGATCTCCTGACCTCGTGATCCACCCGCCTCAGCCTCCCAAAGTGCTGGGATTACAGGCGTGAGCCACCGCGCCCGGCCGAGATGGGATTTCACCATGTTGGCCAGGCTAGTCTCGAACTCTTGACCTCATGTGATCCGCCCACCTCGGCCTCCCAAAGTGCTGGGATTACGGGTGTGAGCCACTGCACCTGGCCTGAATTTGTTGTTTTTAAGTGAGCAATTTGGTTGCATTTAGTAAATTCACAATGTTGTACAACCACCACCTGTATCTGGTTCCAAAACATTTTCATCACCCCAAAAGGGCACCCCACCATTAGAAGTCACTCCCCCTTGGTCCCTTCCCAGGGCCCCCAGCAATCGACCTTCTCTCTATATAGATTTGCCTGTTCTGGATATTTCCTATAAGTGAAATCATACAGTCCTTCTCCTTTTGTGTCTGGCTTCTTTCACTCAGCATCATGTTTTCAAGGTTCATCCACATCGCAACATGCATCAGCACTTCCTTCCTTTTTATGGCTAAATAATATTCCACTGCATGGATATGTCACATTTTGTCTGTCCATTCATCTATTGACTGATATTTGGGTTGATTCCATCTCTGAGCTGTCGTGAATAGTGCTGCTGTGAACGTCCGTGTACAAGTTTTTGTTGGGAGTCTCTGTTTTCAATTCTTTCCAGTATGTGATCCTGGTCTTTGATTCCCTCATTACACTGCCTGCCAAATGTACAGCCAAATTGTATGCAACATCGTTGGAAGGACACCGGTGGGAGGGGCTGTCCTGTTAATTCTTGGAGAAATAGCGTCGTAGTTCAATGTATGTCCCACAAGGTGGCGCCCACACTTAGGAAGCTTCTCCGGGCTGAAGGAAAAGCTCTCTGTGCCCTCTGTGCAGCCACAAGTGGAGGCTCTACCCAGAAGCAGCGGCTTTACACCTAATACTCCTGTGACTGACCCACATCCGAATACCCAGGGAGATTAGGTGGTTCATCACCTGAGAGCTTTGTTTTTACTTCAGACAGCTGCTTAAGGTTCTAATGGGTTCCTGTCACTAAAAGTGCAAGGAGATTAATGTGTCTAGGTTGTCAAAATCAACTTGATAGACATTTCTTCATAGCTAATATTTCCTTTCTTATCTGTTGGTTAAAAGAGCCGATCCTCTCACAGTTACAGTGAGTACAGCAGGAAAGAAATATTACATTTCTCTACTTTTTCCAATTCACCCCTACCAAGGTTCTTTGCAGTATTCTTTTCTTGTTTTTTGTGTTTTTTTCAGAGATGGGGTCTCACTCTGGGCTGGAGTGAAGTGGTGCAATCACAGCTCACTGCAGCCTTGACCTCCTGGGCTCAAGTGATCCTCCCACATCAGCCTCCAGAGTAACTGGGACCACAGGCACACATCACCACGCTCAGCTAATTTTTGTATTTTTTTGTAGAGATGGGGTTTCACCATATTGGCCAGGCTGATCTTGAACTCGTGGGCTGAAGCAAATCACCCACCTCAGCTTCCCAAAATGCTGGGATTACAGGCATGAGCCACAGTGCCTGGCCTAAAATACTCTTAAATGATGCACCCTCCATACATAGAAAATCTTCCTAGAAGTAATATCATCCTATATAATGAGATGAGGGTTAAGCTGGTGATAAAGTTAGGCATAAGTAGGGCATCACCCTAAATCCCGAGTTAAGAGGAGTTTGCTGTAGTTTGGGGAGCATATTGAAAACACATTGTTGGCTGTGGGCGGCAAGCCATCCAGGTGCTGAGGCAAGAGACCGAGGGCACGAGCTGTTCCAGTATAATAAAATATATAAAACAACAAGAGTTATACTAGATCTAGATCACAGACATGATTATATATGAATATCATTAATCATTAGTTATCCGGAGGCCTAACCGTCTCCCTGTGGTGCTGTGCTTCAGTGGTCACGCTCCTAGTCTGCCTTCATGTTCCATCCTGTACACCTGGCTCTGCCTTTTAGATAACAGTAGCAAAATTAGTGAAAGTACTAAAAGTCTCTGATACGCAGAAATAATGGCGTAAGCTGTCTCTCTCTCTCCCTGTCTATCTCTGCCTTGGCTGCCAGGCAGGGAAGGGCCCCCTGTCCAGTGGACACGTGACCCACGTGACCTTACCTGTCATTGGAGATGACTCACACTCTTTACCCTGCCCCTTTTGCTTTGTATCCAATAAATAACAGTGCAGCCAGACATTCGGGGCCTCTACCGGTCTCCGCCTCTTGGTGGTAGTGGTCCCCCAAGCCCAGCTGTCTTTTCTTTTACCTCTTTGTCTTGTGTCTTTATTTCTACAATCTCTCGTCTCCGCACATGGGGAGAAAAACCCACCGACCCTGTGGGGCTGGTCCCTACAGTTGGCCGGGCACGGTGGCTCACACTTGTAATCCCAGTACTCTGGGAGGCAGAGGTGGGTGGATTACCTGAGGTCAGGCCTTCAACACCAGCCTGGCCAACATGGCAAAACCCCGTCTCTACTAAAAATACAAAAATTAGCCAGGCATGGTGGCGCACACCTGTAATCCCAGCTACTCAGGAGGCTGAGGCAGGAGAATTGCTCCAACCCAGGAGGCAGAGGTTGCAGTGAGCCAAGATCACGTCACTGCACTCCAGCCTGGGCGACAGACCGAGACTCAGTCTCAAAAAAAAAAGAAGAAAAAAAAAAAGAAAATACATTGTCAAGACTCAAATCACAGAGTGGTGTTTCACATGATGGTAGAGACTGCTGATTGCCCTCTTGAACCCAGCTTCCATTTCTTCTTTTTCTTATTTATTTATATTTTGAGACGGAGTTTCTCTCTTGTTGCCCAGGCTGGAGTACAATGGAGCAATCTTGGCTCACTGCAACCTCTGCCTCCCAGGTTCAAGCAATTCTCCTGCCTCAGCCTCCTGAGTAGCTGGGATTACAGGCATGAGCCACCATGCCCGGCTAGTTTTTTTTTTTTTTTTTGTATTTTCAGTAGAGATGGGGTTTCTCCCTGTTGGTCAGGCTGGTCTCGAACTCCCAACCTCAGGTGACCCACCCACCTTGGCCTCCCAAAGTGCTGGAATTATAGGCGTGAGCCACTGTGCCCGGCCTTTGCCAGGTATCTTGACTAGAGGAAGATAGTGTTCTGGGTGGGAGACTCAAGAGGTCTGGTTACTGAAGATACAGATCTCACTTAAAGTAAGTAAATTGACATCTGGTTTCCAAATCAATCTATTATGAAATTGGCCCATGTCACTTTCATTTGGCCTGATCAAGTTTTTACTGAGAACTGAATTGGGCACAGTGGCTCACACCTGTAATCCCAGCACCTTAGGAGGCTAAGGCGGGAGGATCACTTGAGTCCAGGAGTTTGAAAACAGCCTGGGCAACATAACAAAGTCCCATCTCCACAAAAAATACAAACATTAGCCCAGGAAGCTGAAGCAGGAGGATCATTTGAGCCCAGGAGGTCGAGGCAGCAGTGAGCTATGATCGTGCCACTGCACTCCAGCCTGGATGGCAGAGCAAGACCCTGTCTCAAAAAAAAAAAAAAAAAAAATTTGAGAACATTGGACATTCAGTATCTCTCCCCTCTCTTGGGCATCATGTTTAGGTTCTGTCTCTAGAGCACATCTCAGAGCCTGCTACAGGTAAACAGGCCAGAAGTTAAATGCATGAAACAAATTAAATGCATGAAACATTCAAGCACATTCTTATTGGTGTAATTAAAATAAAAAAGTAAATGCATGAAACAGAAGCTGTTTACCCACAGCAGAGGAGGGGCAGAAATCATATCCAGTGTGCCATATCATTACTGCCTGCCAGCATTTCCTTAGGCTATTTCATTTATTTACTTTTTTTGAGATGGAGTCTCGCTCTGACTCCCAGGCTGGAGTGCAGTGGCATGATCTCCACTCACTGCAACCTCCACCTCCCAGGTTCAACCAATTTTCCTGCCTCAGCCTCCCAAGTAGCTGGGATTACAGGTGCCAGCCACCATGACTGCCTAATTTGTGTATTTTTAGTGAGAGACAGGGTTTCACTACGTTGGCCAGGCTGGTCTCAAACTCCTGACCTCGAGTGATCCACCCGCCTCGGCTTCCCAAAGTGCTGGGATTACAGGCGTGAGCCACCATGCCCACCTTCCTTTGGTTATTGAGATGGACAAAGAGTTACCCAGTAAGTTAAGAGCAGCTAGTTTTTAATGAATCTTAGCCCAGAATACAAAGCAGGGTGTAGCAGTTGCCTTAATGGTGATATAATTGTAAACAATAGCTTTTTCTTCCCCTATAAACTCGAGTTATAGGAAGCGTTTCAGAGAGAGGATAACACATTTGAATCTATTTTTTAAAAATCATCCTGAAAGCTAGCAGTATTGTTGTCGTTTAAAAGGTTCCTCATATACTCTTACCCTCAGCCAACCCACCATGTTTATCAATTCAAATTCTAGAACTTTCTTGACCCAAGAGATTTTGTAGGAAAAATTTCTCTTTTCAGATATTCAGCACGCAAGGATCATTTTTCTTGGTTTTGTTGCTGATCTTGCTGAACTTTCCATCAATGGCTGAGGGAGGAAGCTTGCATGATTCTTATGAGTTCTTCTGAGGCACTTTGACTGTGACCTGTAAGGGGGACAGAGAAGCCGTTAGATCTTCCTGCTTCCCTGTGATCTGTAGGTCCCCTCAGCTAGGAGCTGACTAAGTGTGAGCAGAAAGGGCTTTTCTTTTTTTCTCCCCAGACTGGAGTACAGGGGTGCAATTACAGCTCACTACTGCCTTGACCTCCTGGCTCAAGCGATCCTCCCACCTCAGCCTCCCAAGTAGCTGGGACTACAGGCATGCACCATAACACCCAGCTAACTTTTTGTATTTTTATTAGAGATGGGGTGTCACTATGTTGCCCAGGCTTGTCTTGAACTCCTGGGCTCAAGCGTTCCGCCTGTCTGGGCCTCCCAAAGTGCTAAGATTACAGGCGTGAGCCATGGCACGTGGCCTGTAACTATGATTTTGATGAAGAGTTATAGGCCAATGATGTCAGAATTTCTATTTCAAATCTGGGTCTTGCCCCTGGAGCTCCAAGCCCATCTCCCTAGATGTGTTCTCCACATCACCTCTTGGGTTTGGACAGGTACCCCAAACACAACCCTAAAGAGAACCACAGTACTTCATTCAGTGTTCCCTATCACAGGACTGGCGTCACCACTCAACCCCTCC
The DNA here is from genome assembly GCF_000001405.40 of Homo sapiens. Classification (NCBI taxonomy): domain Eukaryota; kingdom Metazoa; phylum Chordata; class Mammalia; order Primates; family Hominidae; genus Homo; species Homo sapiens. The sequence continues at coordinate 111,808,951 of NC_000012.12, read as the reverse complement.
TTGGAAACCTGGGTGCCATCTTTGATTCCTAGTTTTGCTTTTCCTCTCTATATCCAGAGTCGCCAATCCTACTCCTGGCTTCCTGTCACATATACCCTCTTTTCTCCACCTGCACTGCACCACTCCAATCCAAACCACCATCTTTCTCCTTGGAGCAGTCTCCTGACAGCTCCCTCATCCCTCCTCATACTGGATGGTCCATTCTCCCTAGGGCAAGCAGAGTGAGGTTTCTTAAATTTTTTTTTTTGAGACGGAGTCTTACTCTGTTGCCCAGGCTGGAGTGCAGTGGCGCAATCTCGGCTCACTGCAACCTCTGCCTCCCAGGTTCAAGCAATTCTCCTGTCTCAGCCTCCCGAGTAGGTGGGACTACAGGCACCTGCAACCAAGCCTTGCTAATTTTTGTGTTTTTAGTAGAGAAGGGATTTCACCTTGTTGGTCAGGCTGGTCTCGAACTCCTGACCTCAGGTGATTCACCTGCCTCAGTGTCCCAAAGTGCTGGGATTACAGGCGTGAGCCACCGCGCCTGGCCGCTTTCTTAAATTTTTAAACAACTTTCTTGAGATATGATTTATGCACAATCAAGTGTAATTGCTTTTAGAATATTTTAAGTTGTGCAATCATCACCATACTCCAGTTTTAGAACATCTGCATCATCTCCAAAAGCAATCTTGCACCCATGAGCAGCCACTACCCATTCCCCATGCCCTAGATGACCAGTAATAAGTTTCTGTCTCTATAGATTAAGCAGAGCAATCTTTTAAAAATACAAATTGAGTGGGCCAGGCACAGTGGTTCACACCTGTAATCCCAGAACTTTGGGAGGCCGAGGCAGGCAGATTACTTGAGGCCAGGAGTTCGAGATCAGCCTGGCCAACAGGGTGAAACCTCATCTCTACAAATACAAAAAATTAGCCAGGTGTGGTGGCAGGCGCCTGTAATCCCAGCTAGTCAAGTGGCTGAGGCATGAGAATCGCTTGAGCCCGGGAGGCGGAGGTTGCAGTGAGCCAAGATCACAGCACTGCACTCCAGCCTGAGCAACAGAGCAAGACTCTGGCTCAGAAAAAAAAAAAAAAAAATTGAGCCACCTAATTCTTCTACTTAAAATGCTCCCATAGCTGAGATCAAACTCCATTATCAAAGACATCAAACCCCACATCATGGCCAACAAGGGCCTGTGCATTCTGGCCTTGCTCTCTCCCCACTAACCACTACATCTTCCACCACCAGCAACCTTCCTGCAGTTCCTGGAAGAGCCATATTTCTCGCCATCACAGCTTTTCCAGAAGCTATGCTCTTTGTTTAGTACGTTCTTCTCTTCCTCCCCTCACCATCTCTACTTCCACTCATCCTTCAGGTATATCAGCTTAGATACCACCCTGTCACGTGGCCATCCTGGACATCGCCTCCTTAACACTAGTCATGTGCCAAGATTTAAGACTCACCAACTGAAGTTGGACCTTTTATCCGATGTCATAACTCAAAGCCCAGCACAGGCTGTCCACCCACATGGCCACCTCCTGCTGTTGTGGACTCTGCTCGGGCAGTGGATGAAGTGTACCCACTGGGAAGTGGGTGGGGTATACAGTAAACAAGACTGGCTGTGAGCTGATCTTTGTCATAGCTTTATGGTGGGGATACAGAGGCTCATTCTACTGTTTTTTTTTTTCCGTTTTGTTTTGTTTTGTTTTTGAGACAGAGTCTCGCTCTGTCTCCCACGCTGGAGTGCAGTGGCACCATCTCGGCTCACTGCAAGCTCCGCCTCCCGAGTTCACACCATTCTCCTGCCTCAGCCTCCCAAGTAGCTGGGATTACAGGCACTCGCCACCACGCCTGGCTAATTTTTTGTATTTTTAGTAGAGATGGGGTTTCACCGTAGCCAGGATGGTCTGGATCTTCTGACCTTGTGATTCGCCCACCTCGGCCTCCCAAAGTGCTGGGATTACAGGCGTGAGCCACCATGCCCGGTCTGTTTGTTTGTTTTTTGAGACAGAGTCTTGCTCTGTTGCCCAGGCTGGAGTACAGTGGCGCGATCTCAGCTCACTGCAACCTCCACCTCCCGGGTTCAGGCAACTCTTGTCTCAGCCTCCCAAGCAGCTGGGACCACAGACACATGCCACCAGCCTGGCCAATTTTTGCATTTTTAGTAGAGATGGGGTTTCACCATGTTGACCAGGCTGGTCTCGAACTCCTGACCTCAAGTGATCTGCCCATCTCGGCCTCCCAAAATGCTGGGATTACAGGCATGAGCCACCACTCCTGGCCTCATTCTACCATTATACCTATTCTTTGCATAGATTGGAAAGTTTCCACACTAAACAAGTAAACACGTTTAGTTGATTCCAGTGAGCTATTCAGGAACACAGGTTGTGTCCTCGGCCTCTCCAGTCTCAGGCTTGGCACTGTGGCCCTGAATGAGTCCCGTTTGCCTTTTCTCACCTGCTCCACAGCTGGCAGGCTTGCCCTGAGCCTCCTCTTTTCCAATCCTGGAAAGGCTAGCTCAACCCATTTGCCTCTTCCTTAAACATCACTTGTGTTTATGTTTTCTGGTTAAACTATAATTAGTATTCACAGTAAATCATTTTCACTTCAGTGTATATTTCCCTGTTTGTTTGTTTTTTCTTTTTTTTTTTTTCCTGAGACGGAGTCTCGCTCTGTCGCCCAGGCTGGAGTGCAGTGGTGCGATCTTGGCTCACTGCAAGCTCCACCCACTGGGTTCACGCCATTCTTCCGCCTCAGCCTCCTGAGTAGCTGGGACTACAGGCACCTGCCACCACACCTAGCTAATTTTGTTTTTGTATTTTTAGTAGAGACGAGGTTTCACCATGTTAGCCAGGATGGTCTCGATCTCCTGACCTCGTGGTCTGCCCACCTCAACCTCCAAAAGTGCTAGGATTACAGGTGTGAGCCACTGCGCCCGGCCTGTTTTTTTTTTTTTTGAGTCTCACTCTGTCGCCAGGCTGGAGTGCAGTGGTGCAATCTTGGCTCACTGCAACCTCCACCTCCCGGGTTCAAGCAATTCTCCTGCCTCAGCCTCCCAAGTAGCTGGGACTACAGGCATGTGCCGCCACGCCCAGCTAATTTTTGTATTTTTAGTAGAGACAGGGTTTCACTATCTTGGCCAGGATGGTCTCGATCTCTTGACCTTGTGATCCACCCACCTCAGCCTCCAGAAGTGCTGGGATTATACGCGTGAGCCACCGCGCCCGGCCATTTTGTTTTTAATAAGATGGTATCTTGCTACATTGCCAAATTAATCGCTTATGAAATTGGCGAACATGACTCTTCAATTTGGCCTGTCCAAGTTTTTCGACTTACAAAACTGAGAGCCAGGCTGGGTGTGGTAGCTCATGCCTATAATCCCAGCACTTTGGGACCAAGGCAGGAGAATCACTTGAGCCCAGGAGATTGAGACCAGCCTGGGTAACATAGTGAGACCCCATCTCTACAAGAAATACAAAAATTAGTCAGGAATGGTGATGTGCACCTGTAGTCCCAGCTACTCGGGAGACTGAGATGCGAGGATCACTTCAGCCCAGGAGGTGGAGGCTGCAGTGAGCTGTGATGGCACCAGTACACTCCAGCCTGGTGATTCCAATCCTGGAAAGGCCTGCTCAACCCATTTTCCAGGCTAGCTTCAAACTTGTGGCTCAAGCGATCCTCCCACCTTGGCCTCCCGAGTAGCTGGGACTACAGGCATGCAACACCACGCTCCAGTTTTTCCTTTCTTTTTTTATATTTATAAGTAAATGTATCTGAGTATCTATCTATGTACATAAATTCCAAAAATTGGGCTTATATTGATGATATATTAGTTTGTATACTGCTTTTACTTTAAAGGCTAAGCATTTTTCATATCAAATATTCTACAAAAACATTTGTAACAGATACCTGTTACTCCTTGATTGGGGTGTTCCATAATTTATTGGGCATTAAGTTTACATCTGATTTTCCCCTCTTAGAGATAAAGCAGTGATGAATATTTATGGAAGGAACGCTTTCTTTGTATTTCTGATGGGTCCTTCAGGCTATATTCCAGTCATTGAAGTTGCAAATCAAAGGAGATGCATATGGTTATGGGCCTTGATATCTCATGCCTAATAGCTTATGTTTGTATTATTTATTTTTAAATATTTTTATTACTGTGGGAATTGCTCCATTCCAACCTAATAGCTAATTCTTTTTTCTTTTCTTTTTTTTTTTTTTTTGAGACGGAGTCTCGCTCTGTTGCCCAGGCTGGAGTGCAATGGCACAATCTCGACTCACTGCAACCTCCGCCTCCCGTGTTCAAGCGATTCTCCTGCCTCAGCCTCCTGAGTAGCTGGGATTACAGGCGCACGCCACCACACCTGGCTAATTTTTGTATTTTAGTAGAGACAAGGTTTCACCATGTTGGTCAGGCTGGTCTCAAACTCCTGACCTCATTCGTGATCCACCCACCTTGGCCTCCCAAAGTGCTGGGATTACAGGTGTGAGCCACCGTGCCCGGTGAAAAGCCACCGCGCCTGGTGAAAATCTGAAAAGATTCTTACTAGAAGCTTTTCCTCTCCGCTCCGCCCCCTGAAGTCTCTCCCTCTTCTCAGGCCTACAGGCCTTGGCGTATAACGAAGCCCAGCAAATGACCGCATAGGCCTGATGGGGGCACGTCCCTCAGTATTTCTCATGGGACAGAGCAGAGGCTGGGTCTTTACCCTCTCTTGTCACTTCTCAGGCTTAAAATGGGAAATTAGTAGGAAACACTGATGGCCTCAAGCATGAGGGAGAGGCCAAAAGGTGGCCCGCCCAGCAGACCCTAAATCCCTGGCAGGCCCTGATCCCCAGCAGGTCCTGAACTTCCAGCAGGCCCTGAGTCCCCGGCAGGTCCTGAACCTCTGGCAGGCCCCGAGCCCCCAACAGACCCCAATCCCCCAGCAGGCTCCGAGCCACCAGCAGACCCTCAAGCCCCAACAGGCCCTGAGCCCCCAGCAGGTCCCACACTCACAGTTTTCACTTCAGTGTATGCCTGCAGCCCGTACTCGCCCAACTCCCGGCCACTCCCCGACATCTTGTAGCCACCAAAGGGTGACTGGGCTCCAAACACATCATAGCAGTTGACCCTGTAATTTGAAACGAGATTGCAGAAATCACTCTTGGGGGTTATGGGTTACACTCCCAGGACCCCCTGTATTGCCCCAAAGTCTTTATTTTATTTTTAACTTAAAAAAAAATTTTTTTTTTTGAGATAGAATCTTTCTCTGTTGCCCAGGCTGGAGTTGCCATGGCATGATCTTGGCTCGTTGCAACCTCCACATCTGGGGTTCAAGAGATTCTCCTGCCTCAGCTTCCTGAGTAGCTGGACTACCAGCACGTGCAACCACGCCTGGCAATAAATTTTTTTTTAAGAGACAGGGTCTGATTATGTTACCCAGGCTGGTCTCCAACTCCTGGTCTTCAGTGATCCTCCTGCCTCAGCCTCCCAAGTAGTTAAGATAACAAGTATGTGCCACTATGCCTGGCTAATTTTTTTATCTTTTATTTTTTGTAGAGATGGGGTCTCACTATGTTGCCCAGGCTGGTCTCGAACTCCTGGCCTCAAGTAATTCTCCTGCCTCAGGCTCCCAAAGCACTGGGATTACTGGTATGAGCCACTGCACCTGGATGGCTTTCTTTTCTTTTCTTTCATTTTTTTTTTTTGCAATTTAAAAAAATTATTAAATTTTATTTGAATTTGAAATTTACCATTTATTTATTTATTTTTATTTATTATTATTATTTTTTGAGATTATTTTTTGAGATGGAGTTTCACTCTGTTGCCCAGGCTGGAGTGCAGTGGTGAGATCTCAGCTTACTGCAACCTCCGCCTCCCAGGTTCAAGCGAATCTCCAGCCTCCCGAGTAGCTGGGATTACAGGTGCATGCTACCATGCCCAGCTAATTTTTCTATTTTTAGTAGAGACAGGGTTTCACCATGTTGGTCAGGCTGGTCTCAAACTCTTGACTTCGTGATATGCCTGCCTTGGCCTCCCAAAATGCTGGGATTACAGGTGTGAGCCACCACGCTTGGCCTATTTTTAATTTTCTTTTTTTTTTTTTTTTTGAGACAGAGTCTCGCTCCGTCGCCCTGGCTGGAGTGCAGTGGTGCGATCTCGGCTCACCGCAAGCTCCGCCTCCCAGGTTCACGCCATTCTCCTGCCTCAGCCTCCCGAGTAGCTGGGACTACAGGTGCCCGCCACCACACCCGGCTAAATTTTTGTATTTTTAGTAGAAACGGGGTTTCACTGTGTTAGCCAGGATGGTCTTGATCTTCTGACCTCGTGATCCGCCCGCCTTGGCCTCCCAAAGTGCTGGGATTACAGGTGTGAACCACAGCGCCCTGCCCTTTTTCTTTTCTTTTTTTGAGACAGAGTCTCACTCTGTTGCCAAGCTGGAGTGCAGTGGTGCGATCTCGGCTCACTGCAACTTCTGCCTCTAAAGTTCAAGTGATTCTCCTGCCTCAGCCTCCTGAGTAGCTGGGATTACAGGTGCCCACCACTGCGCCCGGCTAATTTTTTTTTTTTTTTTTTTTGAGACAGAGTCTTGCTCTGTCACCCAGGCTGGAGTGCAATGGCACGATCTCAACTCACTGTAACCTCTGCCTCCCGGGTTCAAGCGATTCTCCTGCCTCATCCTCCCAAGTAGCTGGGATTACAGGTGCATGCCACCACACCCGTCTAATTTGTGTATTTTTAGTAGAAACAGGGTTTCACCATGTTGGTCAGGCTGGTCTTGAACTCCTGACATCATGTTCCACCTACTTCGGACTCCCAAAGTGCTGGGATTACAGGTGTGAACCACCACGGCCTTACAGGTGTGAGCCACCAGGCCCAGGCCTAATTTTTGTATTTTTAGTAGAGACGGGGTTTCACCACATTGGCCAAGATGGTCTCCATCTCCTGATCTCGTGATCCGTCTACCTTGGCCTCCCAAAGTGCTGGGATTACAGGGGTGAGCCACTGCACCCAGCCTAAAATTCACCATTTTAAAGTGTACAATCACTGGTTGACAGCATATTCACAGTGTTGTGTGACCATCACCACTGTCTAATTGCAGAACATTTCTATCACACTGAAAGAAGCCCTGTGCCCAGGAGGCAGGCACTCTCCATTCCTCCCTCCCCCAGCCCCTGGCAACCACTAACATACTTTCTATCTCTATGGATTCGCCTATTCTAGATATTTATAATACTGTAAATGGAATCACACAGCATGTGGCCTTTTGTGCCTGGGTTCTTTTTTTTTTTTTTTGGAGTCTCACTCTATCGCTCAGGCTGGAGCGCAGTGGCATGATCTCCACTCACTGCAATCTCCGCCTCCCAGGTTCAAGCGATTCTCCTGCCTCAGCCTCCCGAGTAGCTGGGACTACAGGCACCTGCCACCACAGCCAGCTAAGTTTTGTGTTTTTAGTAGAGATAAGGTTTCACCATGTTGGCCAGGCTGGTCTCAAACTCTTGACCTCAAGTGACCTACCCACCTCGGCTTCCCAAAGTGCTGGGATTACAGGCATGAGCCACCGCACCCAGACAGTCTGGGTTCTTTCACTCAATGTTATGTTCAAGATTAATCCATGCTATTGCATGCATGGCTACTGATATGGCTTGGCTTTGTCCCCACCCAAATCTCATCTTGAATTGTAGCTCCCACAATTCCCACGTGTTGTGGGAGGTAATTGAATCATGGGGCCAGGTCTTTCCCATGCTATTCTTGTGACAGTGAGTAAGTCTCACAAGATCTGATGGTTTTATAAAGGGGAGTTTCCCTGCACAAGTTCTCTTCTCTTGTCTGCCACCACGTGAGACATGCTTTTCACCTTTCACCATGATTGTGAGGCCTCCCCAGCCACGTGGAACTGTGTGAGTCCATTAAACCTCTTTCCTTTATAAATTACCCGGTCTCTGCAATGTCTTTACCAGCAGTGTGAGAACAGACTCATACAGCTACTTCATTCCTTTCTGTGGCTGAGCCACATTTCATTGCATGGACAGATCACATTCTGTATCCATTCATCTACAGACGGACATTTGGGTTGTGTTCACCTTTTGGCTGTTACAAATAATGCTGCTGTGAAGATTCATATACACGTTTTTATGTGGGAGCACGTTTTTCTTTCTCTTGGATAAATACCTAGGAGTGGAATTGCTGGGTCATATGGGGGCTTCATGTTTAACTTTTTGAGGAGCTCCCAAATTATTTTCCACAATGAGTGTGCCATTTTCCATTCCCATCAGCAACATAGGAGGGTTCCGATTTCTCCACATCCTTACCAATACTTTAAAATATATATACATATAGCCCAGCCTGGGCAACATGGCGAGATCTCATCTCTACAAAAAATAAAAATGTTTTTTAATTGTCCAGGTGTGGTGGTACACACCTGTGGTCCCAGCTACTCAGGAGGCAGAGGTGGGAGGATTGCTTGAGCCCAGGAGTTCAAGGCTGCAGTGAGCTATAATCGCACCCCACAGCACTTCAGCCTGGGTAGAATATTTTTTTCTGTCTGAAAAAATAAAACTAAAAATAAATAAATAATAAAAATATAGCCATCCTAGTGGGGGCTAAGTGTGAAGCAGAGGCTAAGCTTTTAGGATCAGTGTCACAATCATGGGTCCCTCTGCTCTGGTCTCCTGCCCTGAGGCAGCTGGGGAGGAGCCCCACCACTCCGCTGCCTGCCAAGTTCAGGTGCAGGGCCTTTGCACCACAGAGAAGCTTGATCCTTCGGAGGTGAGGTAGCAGGACCTCTCAAATCGACATCACACCCTGACCCAGGAGAAACTGAGCCCAGCTCCCCAAATTCCAGGATGGTGACCACCAGATTCCAGTAGGCCCTGGCTTTGAGGAATCTCTGTTGGGTTGTGAGGGGCTGCTGGGAGGCTCTTACCACACAGTGCCCGCCTGGAGGGCCTGGGACAGGTAATTGGCCTTGTCCAAATCCTTTGTGAAGACAGCTGCGGCCAGCCCGTACGTGGAATTGTTGGCTCTCCCAACAACCTCCTCTATGGTCTTGAACTTCAGGATCTGCATCACTGGCCCGAAGATCTGGAGTGAGAGAGCAGCGTAGGAGGGTTCGGCAACACGGAGGCACCTGCCATCGAGCTCTCTCAGAGCAGAACAGATGATTCCAGATTGGGGGATAAGCCCCCAGCCATGCTCTAACAGTTCCAGGGGAAGACAACAGCCATCAAGCTCAGCAGAACACAGAGGGAATGGAGCTAACAGGGGCCAACTTCCTCCTGTGCGCCCCGGGCTTTACATACAGTATCCCATTTCTAAACAATCCTGCCAGGTATGTTATTCACACGTGACACGTAGATTTAGTGTCAAAGAATTTAAGTCAGCTGGGCATTGTGGCTCATGCCTGTAATCCCAGCACTTTGGGAGGCCAAGGTGGGAGAACTGCTTGAGTCTAGGAGTTCGAGTCCAGCCTGGCAAACACAGAGAGACCCTGTCTTTACTCAAAAAAAAAAAAAAAATTTTTGGCCAGGCACGATGGCTCACACCTGTAATCCCAGCATTTTGGGAGGCTGAGGCAGGTGGATCACCTGAGGTCAGGAGTTGGAGACAAGCCTGGCCAACATGGTGAAACCCCATCTCTACTGAAAATAAGAAAAATTAGCTGGGCGTGGTGGTGTGCGCCTGTAATCCCAGCTACTAGTAGGGTCTGAGGCAGGAGAATCGCTTGAACCCGGGAGGCAGAGGTTGCAGTGAGCTGAGATTGCACCACTGCACTCCAGCCTGGCGACAGAGTGAGACTCCATCTCAAAACGAGAAGAGAAAAAATAAGCCGGGCGTGGTGGCTCATGCCTGTAATCCCAGCACTTTGGGAGGCCGAGGCAGGCAGATCACGAAGTCAGGAGTTCGAGACTAGTCTGATCAACATGGTGAAACCCTGTCTTTACTAAAAATACAAAAATTAGCCAGGCGTGGCTAAAACTGGAGACAGAGTCCCGCTCTGTTGCCTAGGCTGGAGTGCAGTGGCGCGATCTCGGCTCACTGAAACCTCTGCCTCCCAGGTTCAAGCGATTCTCCTGCCTCAGCCTCCAGAGTAGCTGGGATTTCAAGCAAGCGCCACCACGCAGGGCTAATTTTTTCTTATTTTTAATACAGACAGGGTTTTGCCATGTTGGCCAGGCTGGTCTCGAACTCATGACCTCAGGTGATCCACCCACTTCGGCCTCCCAAAGTGTTGGGATTACAGGCGTGAGCAACTGCACCCAGCCTGTACTAAAAAATTTTTTTAAAATTAGCCAGGCATGGTGGTGAGCACCTGTAGTCCCAGCTACTCAGAAGGCTGAGGTGGGAGGATCATTTGAGCCCAAGAGTTCAAGGCTATAAGGAGCCATGATTATGCCACTGCACTCCAGCCTGGGCAACAGAGCAAGAATCTGACTGAAAGAAAAAAGGTCATGGGAAGGAGCAGACAATGTCATTCCTAGACTCCTGGCTCTGAGGGCCAGGACACCAAGGCCTGCAGGCCATGCTGAGGAATGCAGACGATCTCCCAGACAGAGGGTACAAGCTGAAGAGGAGGGACAAGATCAGATACATACTATGAATAGCGTGTTATGGGCACTGGTTCTGGGTATAACTTGAGATCTGGCCCCAAGCCAGCAGATGGGTGACAGCATCAGGATGCCAGGCTGAACTGTTTACCTCACCTCCCGCCAAGAATGTTTCCAGAGCACTGGCCCCAAGTGCTCACCTCCTCCTTGGCGATGGTCATGCCATCCTGCACATCTCCAAACACAGTGGGCTGGATGAAGTAACCACGGTCAGCAGCAATGCCCCCACCACACAGCAGCTTCGCCCCCTCTTGCTTCCCCGTGTTGATGTAGCCGAGGATCTTCTTAAACTGAGTTTCATCCACCTGTGGGAGAAGGAACCCAGAGTTATGGAGACATCGGATTCAGACCTCTCCTAGGCTTCAGGCTTAGAATTATGCAGGCAACAAGACAACTGGGAAATGGACCAAGGTCATAAGAAAGCAAGATCAGAAGAGGAAACACACAGGGCCAATAGCAGAAAACACAAAAAAGGCCCAACTTCCTCAGCCTACCGGAGAAAAGGACATCAAATCAATCTTTACTTTTCAACTATAAGATTACCAAAAAGTTTAGGAAGAAAATACACTGATAGCAAGAGACCGTTACATATACTGTTAGAAGGATGACAGACTGGTACAGCCTTTAGAGCAAGTGGTTTATTAATATTGCTCAAAAATTATATACTCAGATCCTTTGGCCCAGCTATTTAACTTCTAGGAATTTATTCTACATATGCACAAAGAGAAATGAACAAGGATATTCACTAGGGAGTATTTTTTTTTTTTTGTATTTTTGTTTTTGAGATGGGGTCTCACTCTGTCACCCAGGCTGGAGTGCAGTGGTGCGATCTCCACTCACTGTAACCTCTGCCTCTCATGCTCAAATGATCCTCCCACCTCAGCCTCCCGAGTAGCTGGGACTATAGGCATGCACCCCTACGCTGGGCTAATTTTTGTATTTTTAGTAGAGACAGGGTTTTGCCTTGTAGCCCAGGCTGGGGGAGCATTTTGTAAAGGCAAAAGATGGAAACAATTCTAAGTATAAATCAGTAGAGGGGTTGGTTAAAATTATTACGGTGCATCCAGTATATTGTCATCACTAATAGATCTGTGAACTAACTGACACAGAAAGATGGCCCAAGATACTCTGTAAAAAGAAGGAAAGCTTGGGCCAGGGGCAGTGGCTCACGCCTGTAATCTCGGCACTTTGGGAGGACGAGGCAGGCAGATCATGAGGTCAGGAGTTCAAGACTAGCCTGGCCAACATAGTGAAACCCCGTCTCTACTAAAAATACAAAAATTAGCTGGGCATGGTGGCACATGCTGAGGCAGGAGAATCGCTTGAACCAGGGAGGTGGAGATTGCAGTAAGCCAAGATCGCGCTATTGCACTCCAGCTCTGGCAACAGAGACTTCGTCTCAAAAAAAAAAAAAAAAAGAAGTAAAGCTTGTAGAACAATATGCACTTATATACTCCTTTATAGGGTAGGGGAGAAGGGCGACAGGGTCTCACTCTATTGCCCAGTCTGAAGAGCAGTGGCACAATCACGGCTCACTGCAACTTCAATCTCCCTGAGCTCAGGTATCTTCTCATCTCAGTCTCCCGAGTAGCTGGACCACAGGTGTGTGCCACCACACCTGGGTAATTTTTATATTTTTAGTAGGGATGGGGTTTTGCTATGTTGCCCAGGCTAGTATCTAACTCCTGGGCTCAAGTAATTGACTCACCTTGGCCTCCCTCCCAAGTGTTAGGACTACAGGGGTTAGCCACCACACCCAGCCTATTTTTTAAAAAATAAACATACAACAGCATAACTGTGTGTGCATGAGTGGTTACCAATGGAGAATAAAAGAAATGCAACAAAGTCTTATTTTTTACATTAAATACCTTTTTTTAAAAAGAGTCAGGGCCTCACTCTGCCACTCAGGCAGCAGTGCAGTGGTGTGATCACTGCTCACTGCAGCCTTGACCTCCTGGGCTCCCACCTCAGCCTCCCAAGTAGCTGAGAGTATAGGCACGCATCACTACATCTGGCTAATTTTTTTTTGCTTTTTTTTAAAAAAAAAATTATTTATTTTTTGAGGTGGAGTCTCACTCTGTCACCCAGGCTGGAGTGCGGTGGCACGATTTTGGCTCACCACAACCTGCGCCTCCCGGGTTCAAGTGATTCTCCTGCCTCAGCCTCCCGAGTAGCTGGGATTATAGGCGCCCACCACCACGCCCAAATAGTTTTTGTATTTTTAGTAGAGATGAGGTTTCACCGTGTTGGCCAGGCTGGTCATGATTTGCATTTTTTTTTTTTTAGTAGAGATGAGGTCTTGCTGTAGTGCCCAGGCTGATCTCGAAATCCTGGGCTCAAGAGATTCTCCTGCCTCAGCCTCCCAAAGTGTTGGGGTTACAGATGTGAGCTGCCACACATAGCCTAAACACTTTCTCATTAAATTTATTAATGCAAGTTTATATTATCTTAATAATTAGCCACAAAGAGAAATGAGACAAAAAGAAATGTTAGGACGGGTGCAGTGGCTCAAGCCTGTAATCTCAGCACTTTGGGAAGCTGAGGTGGGCGGATCACAAGGTCAGGAGTTCAAGACCAGCCTGGCCAACATGGTGAAACCCTGTCTCTACTAAAGATACAAAAAATTAGCTGGGCATGGTGGTGGGCGCCTGTAATCTCAGCTACTCGGGAGACTGAGGCAGGAGAATCATTCAAACCTGGGAGACGGAGGTTGCAGTGAGCCGAGATCGTGCCACTGTACTCCAGCCTGGAGACAGAGCAAGACTCTGTCTCAAAAAAAAAAAAAAGAAAAGAAATGTTAGGACAGGTGCGGTGGCTCACACCTGTAATCTCAGCACTTTGGGAGGCTGAGGCAGGTGGATCACCTGAGGTCAGGAGTTCAAGACCAGCCTGACCATCTTGGTGAAACCCTGTCTCTACTAAAAATACAAAAATTAGCAGGGCGTGGTGGCGTGCACTTGTAGTCCCACCTACTCAGGAGGCTGAGACAGGAGAATTGTTTGAACCTAGGAGGTGGAGGTTGCAGTGAGCTGAGATGATGCCACTGCACTCCAGCCTGGGTGACAGAGCGAGACGGTCTCAAAAGAAAGAAAGAAATGTTAGTGCCCCTAGCTGCACTATTCACAGTAACCAAAAGGTGGAAACAATCAAGTCTGTCAACAGATTAATAGAAAAATCAAAATGTGGTCTATTCACACAATGGAATATTACTTGGCCTTTTATGTTCTGATACATTCTTATTACAACATGGATGAACCTTTAAAACATGGCTACTTGGAAGAAGCCAGACACAAAGAACCATGTAGGATTCCATTTGCATAAAATGTCCAAAATAGATAAATCTATAGGCAGAACATAGATTGGTGGTTGCCTGGGCCTGGTAGGGGGAGGAATGGGGAGTGACTGCTAATGGGTACAGGATATTTAGGGGAGGCAATGACAATATTATAGAATTAGTGGTGATGGTTGCACAAAGTTGTGAATATACTAAAAATCACTGAATCGTACACTAAAATGGTGCATTTTATGCTACGTGAATTATATCTCAATAAAGCTATTAAAGATAGAGATGTTGGAGGCCAGGCACAGTGGCTCACACCTGCAATCCCAGGACTTTGGGAGGCTGAGGTGGGAGGATTGCTTGAGCCCAGCAATTCAAGACCAGCCTGGGTAACATAGCAAGACCTCATCTCTATAAAAAATATGAATATTAGCCAGGTGTGGTGACGTGTGCCTGTAGTCCCACCTACTTGGGAGGCTGAAGCAGGAGGATCACTTGAGGCCAGGAGGTTAAGCCTGCAGTGAGCCATGATCACACCACTGCATTCCAGCCTGGGCAACAGAACAAGACCCTGTCTCTAAAAAAAATCAAAGAGGGGGATGTTGGGCACATAACCCTGTCCCATGGCAAGGCCAGTCCATCCTCAGACATGGCTGTGGCTCCCCACTGAGGAATCAGAAATGCAAACTGCTAAAAGAAAGAAGCCAGTCTGAGAAGGCTACCTACTGTATGATTCGTATAAGACAATCTGGAAAAGGCAAAACTATAGAGACAATAAAAAGATCGGCCAGGCACAATGGCTCACGCCTGTAATCCCAGCACTTTGGAAGGCTGAGGTGGGTGGATCACGAGGTCAGGAGATCGAGACCATCCTGGCCAACGTGGTGAAACCCTGTCTCTACTAAAAATACAAAAATTAGCTGGGCATGGTGGCATGCACCTGTAAGTCCCAGCTACTCAGGAGGCTGGGGCAGGAGAATCACTTGAACCCAGGAGGTACAGGTTGCAGTGAGCCGAGATCACGCCACTGCACTCCAGCCTGGTGACGGAGCGAGACTCTGTCTCAAAAAAAAAAAAAAAAAAAAAAATCAGTGGTTGCCTGCCAGGGCTCAGGGGAGGAAAAGAGGGAAGAATAGGTGGAGGACGGGGGTTTCAGGGCACAAATATATTTATATGATACTAGAATGATGGTATCATACACATTATGATACATTTGTCTAGGCCCATAGTAAGTACAACACAAAAAATGACCCCGAGGCTGGGTGCCTGACAGCAGATTGCCCGAGCTCAGGAGTTCGAGACCAGCCTGGGCAACAGAGTGAAACCCTGTCTCTACTAAAACACAAAAAATTAGCCAGGCGTGGTGGTGCGCACCTGTAGTCCCAGCTACTCAGGAGGCTGAGGCACAAGAATTGCTTGAACCCGGGAGGCATGAGTCGAGATCGTGCCACTGCACTGCAGCCTGGGTGACAGAACAAAACTCTGTCTCCAAAAAAAATAAAAATTAAAAAAAAAAACCCGAATATACACTACAGACCTAAGTGAATAATAAGGTACCAGTATTGGCTCATCAATACTAACAGATGAACCACACTCATGCAGGATGTGAATAAAGGGGAAACTGGTGGAACAGGGAGGTGCGAAGGAATATATGGGCACCCTCTGTACGTTCAGCTCTATTTTTCTATAAACCTACAACTGCTCAAAAGTAAAATCCAGGCCAGGTGTGGTGGTTCATGTCTGTAATCCCAGCACTTTGAGAGGCCAAAGCAGGAGGACTCCTTGAGCCCAGGAATTCAAGGCTGAGGTGAGGTATGATTGCACCACTACACTCCAGCCTGGGCAACAAAGAGAGACCTTGTCTCTAAAATATAAATAGGTAAATAAATAAATAAATAAAATCAAACAGCTCAAAACATGAAGTGAAATAAAGTCCCTATACTAGCCATACCATGGCTCTCAGACACGAAGGTTCACAGAGCTGTGTATCTTCTGGTGGATACACTTCTACTGATGACCAAGGTCTTGGAAACACACACTCCCTTTTGCAGACACTCCTGGTATTTGTTACATATATGCAATTTACAAAGTGCTTCCCAGGATTAATTTCTACATCACAGCCACCCTGTGAATGAGGCAGGGCACGGCTCGGGATGGGGAAATGAAGGCTGAGGGAGGGAACATAGCTTCCCAAAGGCACACAGCTGCTGTGTGGTAGAGCTGAGACCTGAACCCAGTCCCAACTGATCTGAGCCCGATGCCCTCTCTGCTTCTCATGCTGGCTCTAGACACCCAGACCCTGCGGCACTGCCTGGCTCACCTGCGGCCCCTGCTCGGTCTTGCTATCAAAGGGGTTCCCGACCACCCGAGACTTGGCCCGGGCAACGCTCCGCTCCACAAACTCATCATAGATGTCCTCCTGCACGAAGGTCCGGGAGCCGGCACAGCAGCACTGGCCCTGGTTGAAGAACAGGGCGAAGTGGGCCTGTTCCACGGCCCAATCCACTGCGGGAAGTGGGCAGGAGACAGAAAGGTGACAGTGAGGAGGAGGACCCTGGCCCTGGTGGCCGCCTGCCCAATGGAGCCTGTTCCCACCACTGTAAGGGTTGATGCCTGCTGGGTGCCAGAGACAGATACAGGGAGATGAGGGGTGCTCTCGGAGCCCACTGCCAACCAGGACAAAGGGCGTGATGGCGGCAAGTGGATGAGTCAGATAGCAGGGGCGTGGCCTAGCCTGATGATGCAGAGAGCAGCCAGGGAGAGGCTGGGGACAGGCCAAGGCCAGGCCATGCAGGCCCTGCGCTGGCGTCTTATCCTGAGGCCCGAGGGACAGCAACCAACGCCATTGGGCACTGGGGGGGCGACAGGATCGGCTGGAGCCACAACACAGGTGGCCAGGGCTACCTTCAAGGCCAGGCCTTCTCCAGCTGGAAACTCACTATCGGCATCTGACATGATGATGTTGGGGCTCTTCCCCCCCAGCTCCAAGGTCACTCTCTTGAGGTTGCTGCTCCCAGCAGCAACCTGGATTACGCGGCCAATCTGTGGGGACAGAAAGACAGGAACAAGCTCTCAGTGCCGGGAGAAAAGAGTCCAGCACTCTATAGACACAGAACAGAGTCCCCCACAGCTTGAGTGAGCAACTGGACCACGAGAGACCTAGAGAATTTCACCAAATAGACGTTCACTTTTTTTTTCTTTTGGACAGGGTCTCGCTCTGTCACCTAGGCTGGAGTGCAGTGGCGTGATCTCAGCTCACTGCAGCCTTGACCTCTCAGGCTCTGGCAACCCTCCTGCCTCGGCCTTCCAAGTAGCTGGGGCCACACGCACACACCACCACACAAGGCTAATTTTTAACCACAATGGCAGTCCTGGTCAAGGAGTCTGACCTGGCCAAGATGCTTTGATTTGGGGCAAGCGGTCAGCTCTGGGCTATGTGGAGTCTGGCCAGGCCTGGCCTCCTTAGTCCACATGGGACACTGGCCCCTCCCAAGGGCAGCTAGTGTGGCAACCAGACCACGAAGGGCTCAACCCTGCCCCACCCCTCCTGGTACCTACAGGGTCGTCCTGGAGGAAAAGGCCTCCGCTTGACACCCGGGAGCTCACCTTGAGCATGTCGTCCACTGAGGACAGGGGGAGCTTGGGCCAAGGAGGCTGCAAGCTTGAGGCCAGGGTCACCTTACCTCAGTGGAGCCTGTGAATGCCACTTTGTCCACATCCTCATGGGAGGCAATGGCGGCCCCAGCCGTGGGGCCAAATCCAGGCACAATGTTGACCACACCAGGGGGAAAGCCAGCCTGTGAGCAAACAGCCAGGGGACATTGGGAGTCACCCTCCTATTCTGAAGGGCTCAACCAGGGGAAGACACATCCTTTCTCAGAGAGGGTGGGACAGTCTGCCAAGGACACATGTGGTCAGAAGCTAATTGTATGGGGCACTACATGGGAATTCTAAATGGGACGGAGAAGGAGTCTGTTCGCTGGGGTTCCCTGTGTCTTTGCCCCTCCCCTGACAGCATTCACTTAGAACAACAGTGGGTTTTTGTTTGTTTTTTGAGACCGAGTCTCTCTCTGGCACCCAGGCTGGAGTGCAGTGGTGTGATCACAGCTCACTGCAGCCTCAAACTCCTGGGCTCAAGTGATCCTCCTGCCTTAACCTCCCAAGTAGTTGGGACTACAGGTGCATGCCACCCAGCTGATTTTTAATTTTTTGTAGAGATGGGGTCTTGCTATGTTGCTCAGGCTGGTCTCAAACTCCTGAACTCAAGCAACCCTCCTGCTTTGGCCACCCAAAGTGCTGGGATTGCAGGCGTGAGCCACCAAGCCTGGCCTAGAGCAATATTTTTAATTCTTCAAAGGGGATCTTGCAGTGAAGTCCAATGTGGAAAAAAGCTAAGAGGGAGCCACTCTGGTTCACATGGTGATGGGGGCTCCACAAACACACCTCCCTGTTTAGGGACCCCTGAGACCCTTCTCAGAACTCCTTTAGAACAAGCCTCAACAAGGGCATTTAGAGGTTAAGACCAGGATAAGCCACGCACCTCCTTGATCAGGTTGGCCACATAGAGGGCGGTGAGGGGTGTCTGCTCAGCTACCTTCATCACAACCACGTTTCCAGTTGCCAAGGCTGGGCCCAGCTTCCATGCTTGCATCAGGAGCGGGAAATTCCACTGCAACAAACAACAGCAGCCCTCGAAATCCAAGCTTCCTCAGAGAACTACACTGGGTAGCAGAAGGTGGCAACCCCAGAGGGCAGAAGCAGCACCGAGTTCTCTGAACCCTGCGTGTCCTCCCCTAACTCCATCCATCGTGGTTTTAAGATGAATGGATGAGGCAGGCGGTGCACAACGATGACAGACTCACATTTATCCGTGCTTTTATGTCCGTGACACCATGCTAAGCCCTAATTACCTCCCTAAGACAGGCACTATGTTCATTTCCACTTTTCAGATGGGGAAACTGAGGCTTGGGGGATAAGTGACTTGCCCAAGGTTACAGAATTCACGAGTGGCAGTGCTGAGACTCAAACCGGATTGGCTTTGTCAGAGCCCATCTTCTTACCTGCCACCCAGGCTGCCTTCCGACACCACCCCAGAACCTCTGCAATGAGTCTGGCAGACTGCCAAATCTCAGGGCACCCTGAAGAAACTCCAGGGAGGCTGGACTCACCGGAATGATCTGCCCGCACACCCCCACAGGTTCATGGCGTGTGTAGCTGAAGAAGTCTCCGTCAATGGGGATGGTTTTCCCGTGGTACTTATCAGCCCAGCCGGCATAATACCTTTAAACAAAGAAACGTTCAAGCTCGAATCAATGATTGTCAGGGACCCCTGCAAACCCTGGCAGAAAGAGAAGACTCAAACTGGTCCAGCTGAGTCTTTCTGAAAACTGTCTTTGCTTTTGGCTTATTCAGAGAGAGACAAGTGACTGCAAAGGTCACGAAAATCTACTCTAGGTAGCTAACCCCCAAGCCTCAGAATCGCCTGGGGTTCTTGTAAAAAACACCAGATCCCAGGAGTCCATTTCCAATCTACTCAATCCCACTCTCTGGGGCTCATGCCCAGGAATTAGATTTTTTTTTTTTCTTTCTTTTCTTTTCTTTTTTTTTTTTTGAGACAGCGTCTCGCTCTGTCTCCCAGGATGGAGTGCAGTGGTGTGATCTGGGCTCACTGCAACCTCGGCCCCCCAGGTTCAAGCGATTCTCTACCTCAGCCTCCCAAGTAGCTGGGATTACAGGCACCTGCCACCATGCCTGACCTTCTTTGTTTTTTTTAAGAAACAGGGTCTTGCTGGGTGTGGTGGCTCACACTTGTAATCCCAGCACTTTGGGAGGCCTAGGTGAGCAGATCACGAGGTCAGGAGTTCGAGACCAGCCTGGCCAAGGTGGTGAAACCCCGTCTCTACTAAAAATACAAAAAATTAGCTGGGCGTGGTGGCGGGTGCCTGTAATCCCAGCACCTCGGGAGGCTGAGGCAGAAGAATGGCTTAAACCTGGGAGGCGGAGGTTGCAGTGAGCCGAGATCACGCCACTGTACTCCAGCCTGGGCAACAGAGCGAGACTCTGTCTCAAAAAAAAAAAAAAAAAAGAAAAGAAAGAAAGAAACAGGGTCTTGCTCAGTTGCCCAGGCTGGAGTACAGTGGCACAATCATAACTCACTGTAGCCTTGACCTCCTGGGCTCAAGTGATCCTCCCACCTTAGCCTCCTGAGTAGCTGAGACTACAGGCACATGTCACCATGCCTGGCTAATGTTTTTAAATTTTTTGTAGAGATGTGGGTCTCCCTATATTGCCCAGGCTGCTCTCAAACTCCTGAGCTCAAGTGATCCTCCTGCCTTGGCCTCCCAAAGTGCTGGGATTACAGGCTCGAGCCATTAGCACCTGGCTAGTGACCTGGGTTTGAACATGGGTTTGTGACCCTGGAAGAAAGCTAGCTAGGGGGTTGCCAATCTATGCAAGCCCAGGCATTGCAGCTTCCCTCCCCCAGATCTATACAAACACAGTCTACATGACATGTGTTTTGCAAGCCCCAGAAGTTATTTCATCAGCACAAAAGCAGAATGCCAAAATTCAGGAAAGCATGTGGCCCCAACTGAGATGTACCAGGCTGCTCTCTCTGGGGTGTCCTTGCAGAGGGAGTTTTTCAGCCTTGGCACTGCTGACATCTGGGGCTGGAGAATTCTTTGTTGTGGGACTGTCCTGGGCATTGTACGATGTTGAGCAGCATCTCTGACCTCTATCCACTAGATGCCAGTAGTACCCTTCCCCTCGCAGTCGAGGCTGCCAAAAATGTCTCTGGACATTGCCCAGTGTCCCCGGGGAGGCGTGATTGCCCTGGCTGTGTGCACCTGTTGTGAAGGATACCGACTGTTTTCTTTTTTTTTTTCTTTTTTTTGAGACGAAGTCTCGCTCTTGTCTCCCAGGCTGGAGTGCAGTGGCGCGATCTCAGCTCACTGCAACCTCCGCCTCCCAGGTTCAAGCGGTTCTCCTGCCTCAGACTCCCAAGTAGCATGCCTGCCAAGACGCCCATCTAAGTTTTAATTTTTTTATTTTTTATTTTTTTTTCTGAGACAGAGTCTCGCTCTGTTGCCCAGGCTGGAGTGCAGTGGCGCGATCTCAGCTCACTGCAAGCTCCACCTCCCAGGTTCACACCATTCTCCTGCCTCAGCCTCCTGAGTAGCTGGGACTATAGGCGCCTGCCACCAAGCCCAGCTAATTTTTTATATATATATATTTTTAGTAGAGATGGGGTTTCACCGTGTTAGCCAGGATGGTCTCGATTTCCTGACCTCGTGATCCCCCCGCCGCGACCTCCCAAAGTGCTGGGATTACAGGCATGAGCCACCGCGCACAGCCTAAGTTTTGTATTTTTAGTAGAGACGGGGTTTCATCATGTTGGCCAGGCTGGTCTCGAACTCCTGACCTCAGGTGATCCACCCAGCTCGGCCTCCCAAACTGCTGGGATTATGGGAGTGAGCCACTGCGCCCGGCCCAACTGTTTTCTTGTCCAACCTCTACTCTTCTGGCACTGCTTCCTCCCCACCACCTCTGTTTACATGTCATAGGGAGGCAGCCATTATGTACACAAATGATCTGTCCACCCTTGGCCACAGCTGGCCAGAACCAAGGCCAGCCACTCAGGGTCCTCCCTCAGGAATATGGCATTACAACTAAAAGATGACAGCTTAGCCTGGCTGGAATCAGGCATGGAGGTACAAGAACAGGTGGTGTGGGCTACCAGGTCCCAATGTAAAAACTGGCCCTCAAAGCCAGTGTAGCTGAGGAGAATGAAGCAAGCAGGGAGGTGAGTGAGACTCAATGGCCTTTTGCATTAGAGACCTCTTGACTCTATCGTTTAAGTTGGGCTCAGTGAATTTCTTTCTTTCCTTTTTTTTTTGTTGAGATGGAGCCTCAGTCTGTCACCCAGACTGGAGTGCAATGGCACGATCTCGGCTCACTGTAACCTCCACCTCCTGGGTTCAAGTGATTCTCGTGCCTCAGCCTCCTGAGTAGCTGAGATTACAGGCATGCGCCACTACTGCCTGGTTAATTTTTGTATATTTAGTAGAGATGGGGTTTCACCATGTTGGCCAGGCTCCTCTTGGACTTCTGACCTCAAATGATCCACCCGCCTCAGCCTCCCAAAGTGCTAGGATTACAGGTGTGAGCCACTGTGCCTGGCCTCAGTGAATTTCTGGCAGCTCCAACACATGGGCTTTAACAAAGCCCTTGTTCCTTGGTCATTGAAATGTTTATGTTTGCTGGGCATAGTAACTCATGCCTGTAATCCCAGCACTTTGGGAGGCCGAGGTGGGAGGATCACTTGAGCCCAGGAGTCCAAAACTAGCCTGGGCAACATAGCAAGACCCCCGTCTCTACAAAAAATTTAAAAAGTATCCAGGCATGGTGATGCACGCCTGTGGTCCCAGCTACTTAGGAGGCTGAAGTGGGAAGATTGCTTGAGCCCAGAAGGTCAACACTGCAGTGAACTATGATTGTGCCACTGCACTCCAGCCTGGGCAAGAGTGAGACCCTGCCTCAAAAAAAAAAAATTAAAATTATCAATCAATCGCCAGGCGTGGTGGCTCACGCCTCTAATCTCAGCACTTTGGGAAGCCAAGGAGGGTGGATCACAAGGTCAGGAGATTGAGACCATCCTGGCTAACACGGTGAAACCCCATCTCCACTAAAAATACAAAAAATCAGCCGGGCATGGTGGCGGGCGCCTGTAGTCCCAGCTACTCAGGAGGCTGAGGCAGGAGAATGGCATGAACCCGGGAGGCGGAGCTTGCAGTGAGCTGAGATCGCACCACTGCACTCCAGCCTGGGCAACAGAGCGAGACTCCATCTCAAAAAATAATAATAATAATCAATCAATCAATCAATCAAACATTTTTGATTAAACCAAACCCAAAGCTAGTAAAAGGAAGGAAATAAAGACTGAAACGGAGATAGACAAAAGACAATATTTTCTTGAATAGAAAAATAATAAAATCAACAAAACCAAAAGTTTGGTTCTTTGAAAACATTTACAAAATGGACAAACCTTTAGCTAGGCTAAGAAACAGAGAGAAGACCCAAATAAGTAAAACTGAAAATGAAGACAACACTACAGATCTTACAGAGATAAAAAGGATTATAAGAGAATACTGTGAACAATTGTACACCAACAAATTAGATAACCTCGATAAAATGGACAAGTTCCAAATAACACAGAAAGTACCAAAAGTGACTCAAGAACAAAAGAAAGCATTTATGACTAATCACAATTTGTGATATTGAAGGATTTTCCCATGAGCTGGAGTCTAAATAGAGTAGCCTTCTCTGACTCCTGTGATCCTTTTGAATTTTTGTAATTTATTCATTTTTTGTTTTTGTTTTTGAGACAGAGTCTCACTCTGTCACCTAGGCTGGAGTGCAGTGGCGTGATCTTGGCTCACTGTGACCTCCACTTCCAGGGATCAAGAGATTCTTCTACCTTAGCCTCCTGAGTAGCTGGTATTACAGGTGTGCGCCACCATGCCCAGCTAATTTTTGTATTTTTAGTAGAGATGGGGTTTCATCATGTTGACCAGGCTGGTCTCAAACTCTTGACCTCACGTAATCCACCTGGCTCAGCCTCCCAAAGTGCTGGGATTATAGGCATGAGATACCGCGCTCTGCCCCTTTTGAATTTTTGTAATTTAATTTTTACCTCCTAACAACGTTGCCTCCCCTTTTCCCCTGCCAGAACAAAGAACAGGAAAGCTGAGCCCATACCGGAGACATTTGAGGACCATGTCCAAATCCACCAGGTAGGAGATGACATAGGGCTTGCCATTGTCCAGGGTCTCCAAGGCCTGAGAAGAAAACAAGGTCAGCAGAGACATGGGTGCAGGAATGAGAGGAAAACAAAGGGCTGACAGAGGGCGCCAAGGCTGGGACTGAGAAGGGCTGGTGCAAGCCCAGGGTGAGAGTCCGCTTTGTGCCCCAAATGTCACTAGCATCTCTGGACTATTGCCATGGTCTCTCCAAAGGCAGGGAGGAGGAGGAAGGGGGCCAGGCAGGATGAGCCACCAATTTCTCACTCAGTGATTTCATAAACACACTCTTTTAGCTTCTGCTCTCTACCATATCCAGGTGCTGGGATAGAGACCAGCGTGGAGCTTACAGAGCAAAGAGACTGTGCATAATGACACAAGTCCTCAGTCACATGTGTTAAGAGTGCTAGAGGCCGGATGTAGTGACTTGCAGCTATAATCCCAGCACTTTGGGAGGCCGAGGCAGGTGTTCGAGACCAGCCTGACCAAAACAGTGAAACCTTGACTTTATCAAAAATACAAAATTAGCTGGGCATGGTGGTGCACACCTGTAATCCCAGCTAGTGGGGAGGCTGAGGCAGGAGAATTGCTTGAACTTGGGAGGTAGAGGTTGCAGTGAGCCGAGATTGTGCCATTGCACTCCAGCCTGGGTGAAGAGTGAGACTCCATCTCAAAAAATAATAATAATAATAAAAGAATGCTAAAAAATAGAAAGCAGGGAGCCAGGCTGCCCAGCCCTGTCTAGAAACATCAGCCAGAGATGAGCCCTTTAGGCTAGAACCTGAATGATATGTAGGGGGCAACTGGGCAAAGGGGATGGTACAGATGGCAGCAGGGCGAAGAGCATCCCAGGCAGGTGCAAGCGCTGATGCTCAAAGAGGCTTGGCCATCAAGCATGGGAGCCCAGGCTCAGGAGCACATGTGAATGTGAGGACTGCAGTGCAGCATGACTCAGATGATGGAACTAGAACAGGCTGGGTCATTTTTTTTTTGAGACAGGATCTGACTCTGTTGCCCAGGCTGGAGCGCAGTGGCACCACAACAGCTCACTGCAGCCTTGAACTCCTGGGCTCAAGCAAGCCTCCTGCCTCAGCCTACCATGTAGCTAGGACTACAGGCATATGCCACCATACTCAGCTAGTTTTTTAACTTTTTGTAGAGACAGGATCTTGCCATGTTACAGGCTGGTCTTACAGACCATGTTGAGGATTTTATCCTAAGGACACCGCATGCCATGCAGGGATAAGAGCAGAGTGCCATGTATAATCTGCCTTCTGGAAGGTTTGCTCTGGCTTCTGTGTGCAGAATCAATTGTGGCTGGGAGGAGATTGCCTCCTGGTTTCTTCTCCTCTTGCAGCCAGGGAGAAGGCCCACCATGGAGGGGCCGAGGGAGAGGTGTCCATTCCCAGGGGTCTCTCTCCTGGGAAGGCCTCCCTGACACAGCTCCTCTCCCCTCCCCCAGATCCTTCTTGCTTAGCCAAACCCGCCGCATCAAAGGCCAGGTGCGGTGGCTCACGCCTGTAATCCCAGCACTTTGGGAGGCTGAGGCAGGTGGATTACTTGAGCCCAAGGGTTGGAGACCAGCCTGGCCAACATGGTGAAACCTTGTCTCTACTAAAAATACACAAATTAGCTGTGCGTGGTGGCTTGTGCCTGTAATTCCAGCTACTTGGGAGGCTGAGGCAGGAGAATCACTTGAACCCAGGAGGTGGAGGTTGCAGTGAGCCGAGATGTCGCCACTGCACTCCAGCCTAGGCGACAGAGTGAGACTCCATCTCAAAAAAGCAAAACAAAACAAAACAAAAAAACAAAGGAGACACTGAAAGGCTCCTCTGGTTAGTACAGAGGTGCCCCCTAAAGGTGTCCATCCTATGCCATTCCCATCAGTCCCGTGTCAGATGTGTGTTCCCTGGCTGTTCACAGGATGCTTGGTTCCTGGCTGTTCACAGGATGCTGCGAGCCTATTCACCACATGGGATCTGAGGGGGAGAAGGGCTGAGGACTCACCGCCAGGTAGGTCCGGTCCCGCTCGATCAGATCGGCCAGGCGGTTCAGCAGCCGGCCCCTGTGTGATGCGTCCATGCGGCGCCAAGGTGAGCCCAGCTGGAAGGCGGCCCGGGCGGCCTTCACTGCCTTGTCCACATCTTCCTAGAAAACACAGGAAAACTCAAGCCTTCCTGGAAAACTCAGGTCTTCTCAGTAATAACCAGGTCCGAATACAAACACATCCAGAAGGTCATCAGCATATCGCTGCACAGAAAACCTGCCCCGTAAACAATGCTCCTAGCCCGGCAGAGCCCTGATGAGCACCAGACTTCAGCAATGGGGTTGAATAACATGACCTTCCCCTCCTTTCATGAAGTCCTGGTGGGAATGAGAATCCGGATAATTTCTGTATTTTCTTTTTTTTTGTTTTTTTTTTGAGACGAAATCTCGCTCTGTCGCCCAGGCTGGAGTATAGTGGCGCAATCTCGGCTCATTGCAACCTCCGCCTCCCGGGTTCAAGCAATTATCCTACCTCAGCCTCTTGAGTAGCTGGGATTACTCAAGAGATGCCACCACACCTGGCTAATTTCTGTATTTTTAGTAGAGACGGGGTTTCACCATGTTGGTCAGGCTGGTCTCAAACTCCTGACCTCATGATCTGCCCACCTTGGCCTCCCAAAGTGCTGGGATTACAGGCTTGAGCCACTGCGCCTGGCCTGTATTTTCTTAGTTTTAAATTACTTATTTGTTTCTTTGTTTACTTTAGAGATGGTATCTCACTATGTTTCCCCGGGCTGGTCTCAAATTCCTGGGTTCAAGTGATCCTCCCACCTCAGCCTCCCAAAGTGCTGGGATTACAGGCCTGCGCCACTGCGCCCGGCCAAAAACACAAAATATTTTTACTAAGAGTCTAATTTAAAAATTTTAAACAGAATATTATCAGTTTCGATTGGTTCCTACAGTCTGTACAATTCAAACCTCCACAGGAGCTAGATCTTAGGAGACCCAAATTCTACCCAGCAAGGTTTCCATCTCTGACCTTCAACTTCCAGGTCTGGAAAGGAGACACTGTATTAGATATTTGCCGAATTCACTTCTAAGTCTATAGTTCTACACTAAGTGAATTAACACCGTTGTCTGCAGACAAGTTTCTATTGATTAATTTACTCGGAATTTTTCACTGGTATCTGTTACTTGTGAAAGTAATACACATATATGGTAAAGCTTTCACCACACAAAAACGTATAAAATAGAAGACGAATCCATCCCTCCCCCAAGGTAAGTCACCAGTTCTCACCTTGTCCCCTTCAGCTACCTGACAGATGACCTCTCCAGTGGACGGATTGACGGTGGGGAATGTTTTCCTGCTGACGGCATCGTGCCATTCATTGTTTATGAAAATCTACAATGAGAAGGAAAGAAGTTCTCAGGACCAGCTGTCAACCTAATACTGACTACCAGTATTGTAAGGAAAAAAAAAAACAAGAAAAAGCAAATATGAATTAATTTCAGAGTGGTGTAGCCTACAAATGAAAAGCACAGGCCTTGCAGACAATCTAGGCCAGAATGCTCACTCTGCCAAGTGACCTTGGGTAAGTCACTTGACTTCTCAGTGCCTTGGTTTCTTTAAAAAATGAAGAGAATGTTCATACTTGTTCTAGTTATCCATTGCTGTGTAACAAAGCACCCTAAAACTTGGTGGCTTAAAATGATTTCTTATCTCCCACAGTAGAGTCCCCTGGTTGGGCTCATCTGGGCAGAGTTCCCTTGTGTGGCTACAGTGTGAGGACAGCTGGGGCCAATAGTCATCCACCTCTGAGGCTGGATGTGCAAGATGGCTTCTGCACTTACTCGTCTGGCACCACATGGCTGCTTGGGCTTCCTGACTGCATGGCTGGCTCAAGCTAGTCCGACTTCCCACATGGCAGCTGGCTTCCCCTGAGACAGTGTTCCTAGAGACCCAGGTGGAAGCTGAAAGGCTTCCTAAGATCTAGCTTCAGAAGTCACTTGGCCTCATTTCTGCCACCAAATTCTGTTGGTCAAAGTGAGTCACAGGCTCAGTCCAGAGTCCCAGGTTGAGGAGAGAGCCTCCCCTTCTCCCTAGAAGGAATGGCAAACAATTTGCAACCACCTTCATTCTATTCCACTCCCACACAAATTTGTTGTGAGAACTAAATTAGATTATTCTTTTTATTGTTTTTTTTCTTTTTTGAGACAGGGTCTCACTCCACTGCCCAGGCTGGAGTGCAGTGGCGTGATCATGGCTCCCTGTAGCCTCTTCCTCTTAAGCTCAAGTGATCCTCCTGCCTTAGCCTCCTGAGTAGCTGGGACCACAGGCACACGCCACTACGCCTGGCTAATTTTTGTATTTCTTGTAGAGATGAGGTCCCTCTATGTTCCCCAGGCTGGACTCAAGCGATACTCCCTCCTCAGCCACCCAAGGTCCTGGGATTGCAGGTGTGAGTCACCATGCCCAGCCCTAGATTATTACTTCACTCACTCAGCAAACACTTAATGAACACCTGCGATGGGCCAGGCACAGTTCTAGGGCTGAGGACACAGTACAGCCAAAAGCCAACAAAGACCATGCTCTCATGGTGCCCAGGAAATAAAGAGGCAATCAAACACAGAAGACCACCTCAGACTGTACAGATGAAGGCGAAGGGAAGAAGAGGATCCAGAGAAGGTGACTAAGGTGGGGGGTAGAGAACTCCAGCCGTGGTGGTAGGGGCAGGTCACCCTGAGGAGTGGACATTTGACCGAGTCCGGAATGATGAAAAGGAGGGGTCCACAGGAAGAGCCGGAGGACCAGCAGTCCAGGCTGTGGAATAGCAAGTGCAAAGGCCCCAGGGCAGGAATAAGTCTGGTAGATTTGAGAAAAAGCAAAGGTGGCCAGAGTTACTGGTGAACCAGAAAGGAAGTGATAAAAAACGGGGTCAGGGAGGAGGGCGGGTCCCAAGACGGTTCCGCCTCTAGAATGTAATTCAGACCAGGCCATCACCCAACCAAGCCACATCTGGGGGAAAGACTTCCTTCCTCATGAGGCCAATGTCAGAGAGCCAAAGCCCCTCCATTTGCTCAGAGGAAGGGTCCTTACTTATTACCTAAAGTCACCTATTAAAGTGCGAGGCTGCGTGCGGTGTTCATGCCTGTAATCCCAGCACTTTGGGAGGCTGGGGTGGGCGGATCACCTTAGGTCCAGAGTTTGAGACCAGTCTGGCCAACACGGTGAAACCCCATCTCTACTAAAAATACAAAAAATTAGCCAGGTGTGGTGGCAGGCGCCTGTAGTCCCAGCTACTCGGGAGGCTGAGGCAGGAGAATCGCTTGAACCCAGGAGGCAGAAGTTGCAGTGAGCCAAGATCACGCCATTGCACTCCAGCCTGGGCAACGAGAGTGAAACTCCGTCTCAAAAAATAAAAATAAATACATACATAAAGTGCCAGAGTTCGCCCTCTGCTTTCCAGGCACTGGGCGATGGTCTTGGGGAGTGCAGAGAAGACATCTCCCAGCAAGCTGTTCCCTTCGGGCTTGGTAAACCAGTGTCCTGGCAGGGTCCATGGTCACCTCACCAGTGCTGAGGCAAAGGCTACAGGTGACGTGAAGGCAAAGACATCTGCCTCTCTGCCTGCCTTCCTTGGGGGTCCCTTTGGCCCCAGCATCCCTGCATGTCCTGGCCCTGGCCTAGAACTCCAGTGAGACATCCATGGTCACTCTGGGCCAGAGTCTCGGACCATAAAGAATACCGAGCTGCCAAGCAAAGCCTGGAGTGAGGCTCACAACAGGGCTGGGGAGGGGTGGCCAGGCTCACTGGTCAAAAGCAGACATTTGGCCTGGCACAGTGGCTCACACCTGTAGTCCCAGCACTTTTGGAGGCCAAGGCATGAGAATTGCTTGAGCTCAGGAATTTGAGACCAACCTGAGTAACATAGTGAGACCTCCATCTCCACAAAAAATGAAAAATTAGCCAAGTGTGGTCGCATGCGCCTGTAATCCCAGCTACTTAGGAGGCTGAGATGGACGGATCACTTGCTTGAGTCTGGGAGGTTGAGGCTGCAGTGAGCCATGATCACACCACTGCCTCCAGCATGGGTGACAGAGCAAGACCCTCTCTCAAAAAAGAAAACACAAAAAGGAGCAGAGGTTCAAGACAAGAATCTGGGTGGCCAGGCACAGTGGCTCACGCCTGTAATCCTAACAATTTGGGAGGCCAAGGTGGGAGGATTGCTTGAGCTCAGGAGTTTGAAACCAACATGGGTAACATAGTGAGACCCTCTCTCCACAAAAAGTGAAAAATTAGCCAGGTGTGGTTGCGTGCCTATAGTCTCAGCTACTCAGGAGGCTGAGGTGGGAGGACCATTTGAGCCTGGGAGGTTGAGGCTGCAGTAAGCCGTGATTGCATCACTGCACTCCAGCCTGGGTGACAGAAAAAGACTCTTAAAAAAAAAAAAAGAATCTGGACGAATATGGGCTTTTTTTTTTTTCCTGAGACAGAGTCTCATTCTGTTGCCCAGGCTGGAGTGCAGTGGCGCAATCTCAGCTCACTGCACTCCAACCTCCCAGGTTCACACCATTCTCCTGCCTCAGCCTCCCAAGTAGCTGGGACTATAGGCGCCTGCCACCATGCCCGGCTAATTTTTCTGTGTTTTTAGTAGAGACGGGGTTTCACCGAGTTAGCCAAGATGGTCTCAATCTCCTGACCTCGTGATCCGCCCGTCTGGGCCTCCCAAAGTGCTGGGATTACAGGTGTGAGGGTTTTTTTTTTCTTTTTTTTTAGACAAAGTCTGGCTCTTGTTCCCCAGGCTGGAGTGCAATGGAGCGATCCCGGCTCACTGCAACCTCCGCCTTTCAGGTTCAAGCGATTCTCCTGCCTCAGCCTCCTGAGTAGCTGGGATTACAGATGCCTGCCACCATGCCCGGCTAATTTTTGTATTTCTAGTAGAGACGGGGTTTCACCATGTTGGCCAGGCTGGTCTCCAACTCCTGACCTCAGGTGATCCACTCACCTCGGCCTCCCAAAGTGCTGGGATTACAGGCGTGAGCCACCGCGCCTGGCCGAATATGGGCTCTTTTGCTCCTGATTTTGTCACATGGGACAAGCACCTCACCCCTGTGTCTTTGTTTCCTCATCTGTAGGGTGGGAATCACCCTAGAGCCCCCTTTTTATAAAGCCATGTGAGGGTCTGCAGTCTCTGCGCCAAGCATGGAGTGAATGCCCAACGCCATGACGATGGCAGGGTGGAAACAGAGTGCCCCAGGAAGGAGTCGTTCAGGTAAGGGCCTAGCAGGAATCATATTCCCAGGCTGAAATTTGTTCCGCATAATCTCTATGGTGGAACCCGCAGTTGTGCACCCACAGGAAAGGCTCTTGGCACCGGAGAAGAACATGGGTAAACATTAACTGGGGTTCTGGAGGCGTGCTTGTGTGGTTTCATATTAGTTAGTCAATCGTTAATTTTTAGGGAAATGGCACCCTTCTTTCTTTCCACGGGAGGGCTGGGTCATTTCCAGTGTGGGGACAGGTGTGGCAATAAAGAGCTCAGGTTCAAAGCCAGGAAACTGCCAGACCTAAGTTCAAGTTGGACTATGCCGTGCCTGGGCAGCAGGTCCTGGGTGTTTACTCCCCGACTCTGAAAGTCAGCTCCTCCTCGGGGTGCCCGTGGAGGAGAAGGGAGTTCCCGGGTCTGCCTGCTGGAAGATGGGGGCTCACGGGCGTGGGGGGCGGGCAGGCAGCTTGCAGCCATTGAGTAGGCATCCTTCTCTCCTTCCCCCTGTAGCACAGGCTCAGGGTTCACGCCTCACACACAACTGCCTCACAGCAAAGCACTTGGGTCAGCAGGGTTAGGAGAGTACAGAGAAGCACTAGGCTGGGCTGGGTGGAAGTAGGTCTGGTTGGCCTTGTACTATCCCCAAGCTTCTTCCTCCCCCACCCAGGGAGGAAGTCCACTCAGCCCTCTGCGTGTCATGGACATGGCTAACATTCACTAGCTACCCCTCAAGAACCAGCCCCACACCAGCGGTTCTGTGTACTTGGATTGTTCCCATTTAAACCTCATAGCAAACCTAGGAGGTGAACTTCATCCTCTCCACTTCACAGCAGAGGATGCTGGGCACAGAAGAGTCCAGCCACTTGGCTCTAGGTCACACAGCAGCAAAGGCAGAGCCAGGCTTTGAAGCCAGGTCTTTGGGACTCCAAGGCCTGTGTTTTTCCCAACTCCAACCTCCAGCCATAGCCCAGGTCTGCCTTCAAGGAGGTTGGAATTCTGATTCCCAAATCTCCATCTTTATGGTTTACTTACTGACTCAACACACGTTGATTTCACATTTTGATTCTGAGCCAGGCACAGTGGCTCATCCCTGTAATCCCAGCACTTTGGGAGGCCAAGGCAGGTGGATCATTTGAGGTCAGGAGTTCGAGACCAGCCTGGACAACATGGTGAAACCCTGTCTCTACTAAAAATGCAAAAATTAGCTGGGCATGGTGTCACTTGCCTGTAATCCCAGCTACTCGACAGGCTGAGGCAGGAGAATTGCTTGAACCTAGGAGATGGAGGTTGCAGTGAACCAAGATTGCACCACTGTACTCCAGCCTGGGCAACAGAGTCTCAAAAAAAAAAAAAATTTTATTCTGAATGTTGTAAAAAGCACCAACCTCAAAGCCAAACAGATCTGGGTTTGAATTTTTTTTCTTAAATAAAGGTGGGATTTTTTTTGTATTTTTTGTAGAGATGGGCTTTCACCATGTTGGCCAGGCTGGTCCCAAACTCCTGTGCTCAAGTGATCCTCCTGCCTTGGACTCCTAAAGTGCTGGGATTACAGCTGTGCGCCACCATGCCCGGCCTGGGTTTGAATTCTGACTCCATCCCTCACAGATTTGACCCTGGGCAAATCCCTTCACTTCCCAGATGCCTCATCGAGTACTTCTGGGGGCTGATGTGAAGGTTAAATGCAAGAACGAGTGTACAGTTCCTAAGCTAGGACCTTGCCCGCAGGGGGTCCTGCAGTGTTCTAGATCCTGCAGCTCTCTCGTAGCTTAAAGATTCTTAGGAGCGAGGGCCAGGTCTATACTCTTTATGTTGTTCCCTGCACCAAAGCATACTAAATTGTCCTGGATTTTAAACTTTATTTTGCAAAGATCAGGAAGTAGGAAGGGGAGAGGTGGGCCAGTCTGGCTAAAACCCCACCAGCCCCACCCCTTCCTCGCTGGGCTGGCCCCTCTGATTTAGATTAGGATCCTGGAAAGACCACTCCCTGGCATGTTTGCCTTTCAAAGCCCAGAATGTTCTCAATCACCCTTCACTGTTGAACCAGGCTGCATTTTCAACAACCCATCCTCCCTTCTCCACTGATAAGATAAACCTGGGTCTGCTGTAGGACGCTGGAAACCTCCTCCGGTTTACATTTCCCATTTCCCTTCTCCCAGAGCCAGACTCAGTGGCTTCCCTCCCCGGTGGGGGGCTGGGTAGGAACTGTTCTCACACTGAGTTTCTGCCAAAGTTCTGCTTCAAGTGAGGAGCAGTTTTCCTGAATAAACACCAGGCCAGACTCTGGGCCAAATGCTTTATAACCTCCTGACCAGAAACCCGAAGCTCGACTTACATAACACACGTAAACGCTCTTGGGCGGGGCGTGGTGGGGGGATGTCCTAGCTCCCACTTCCTCTTTATAGTTTCCAGAAGCACAGTGATGTCTGGAGTTGACATTTTCAATCTAGACTGTAGGCAAAACATAAAGATTTTCTATCAAAATACTCTAATTCCTACATATTTTAATAAATACATCTCACTTTGTTTTGTAAAAATTGGATTCATTCACCCACGCATTCCATA
Organism: Homo sapiens; assembly: GCF_000001405.40. Classification (NCBI taxonomy): domain Eukaryota; kingdom Metazoa; phylum Chordata; class Mammalia; order Primates; family Hominidae; genus Homo; species Homo sapiens. The sequence goes on along the minus strand of NC_000012.12, from coordinate 111,775,490 downwards.
AGCTTTCACTGACAGCCCTGGCCACTCCAGCACAGGGAGTCCAAGAGCCAAGTCCTGGCTTGTGGGAGCTGAAGTCCTGGTGAGGAGAGGGCGCAGGAAACAAGCAAAACCAAGCAAGTGAGAAGCAGGAGGAGGCTTGGCCAGCTGAGGGGTCTGAAGGGTGACTGCTAGGAAGAGCCTGGGGACAGGAGGAGTGGCTGCAGGGTGTAGGTGAGGGGAGAGCGGGGGGCTCGCGATTCTACCTGCTGTGTGCCAGGATCTGCACTTGATGCTGGGAGGACCCAGGAGACCAGAGAACCGGGACACTGCCGTGTCCTTTCTAAGTGGGGGTAATAGACTTGCTGTTTGCTAACTCGCTTTTCTCAGTTTCTCTTGGACGTTATTCCACAGGCAGCTCTGCCTCATGTTAAGCCACATAGCGTTCCTCAACACGGTCAGGCCATGGTTTATTTAACGATTTCCTACAAATGCACTTTTAGGACAAGTGATCGCCATTCCAGCAACAGCTGTGGCGAACCCTTTCACATGCGTTTTTCCAAACATGGGGCAGATTACTGTGTAGAAATTAGAACTACTGAGTTAGAGGGTAACAGGATCCCTCTTCACCTTGGCTATCTTGTTCTCCATGCCAGGCAGAGACTTAGTGGTGATTGTGGTGGTCGAGGGGCTCAGGAGCTGGGGCAGGGTCAGTGCCCAGAGCAGGACAACTGGACCTTGGGGGCGGAGGTCAGACCAAGGCCAGGAGAGAATGAAATTCTGGCCACCACCCCCAGACCTCATGACAATGGGTGGTTATCATCTGCCCAGGGTCTCCAATGAAAGGCTAAACTGTGTTCAGTAATCATCTGCCCAGGGTCTCCAATGAAAGGCTAAACTGTGTTCAGTAGTTCTGATTTAAGGAGGCAGGATACATTCTAGAAAGATTTCAGTTCAAGCTTTGATGCATGAGAGAACTGGACATGTTACCTAGGAAATCCCCGTCCCTGGAACACCGTATTTTCCCAAAGAGTGAGCAAGCTAATGGCGCGGTTTTGCAGCCTGGGATGATCCCAACGGCATGTGCTCTTTCACTTGCTAATCTGCGGTTAGGTGATTATGTCCGATGGAAAGCAGATGCCATTGCTTGTATTACAAGATTCCAGGGAGTAAAGTTCAAGACAAACACGGAATGCCACACACATTCCCTCTTCCCCACACATAATCCAGAACCCCAGGTTAGTTGGGGATCAAGGCGAGGGGCAGTCATCTCCCCAGGCTTGCTCGGGACACTCCCGAACCAAGACTAACCCAGGCAGACAGACGCCAGCCCTCTGCCCCACTCCCCCACCCCAGGGCCTTTTTTCACCACTTCAAAGATGGGAGTTTCAATTCCACTTTGGACTGTTTGCCAGACAGGCGCGGTTTCAACTTGTTCTGCTTACGGTTTGGCAACCTCTATCTTGCTGCAATGGACTTTCCCTGAGCCAGTTTCACCACTCCCTATGCGTCCCCATGTTCCCACTCTTTTAAACTTCCAAATACTTTGCAATAAGGTCCTTTTGAGTAGAAATACTGGGTTCTCATTAAGCAACCCTTTACCTCACTTCTGGAGCACAAAACTGTAAACATGGTTTCGTAAATGGCAACCATTCATTATTCAATAAATATTTACCCAACAGTGATCCTATGCTAAGGTGCTAGGTGCCAGGAATGCAAAAGTGAACAATACAAACATGGCTCCTCCTCTCTGATTTTAAAATTCTATTCAATTGTCCCTTAAATGTTTATTAATACATTCTTATGGTCTGATCATTATTCAGGGAGGTCAAGTTCACATTAAGTTATAAGTTTGAAAGTGGGCTTCAAATTCTGCCCTGCCCAACCTTCACACACATGCCCTTAGTTATACTTAATGTGAACTTGACCTCCCTGAGCCTCAGTTTCCTCACCCGCAAGACGGGACAGCAATACTACCAGGCTTATAGAGTTGCGGGTAGGATGAAAGGTGAAATGCAGGTAGAAGTCCTCAGTAGAGGGCCTGATGGAAAATAGGTGATGAATAATCATGATTACTGGAGCAGGGAATACATACACATGTCCACAACATGTAAATTCTCAACTCAGCTTGACCTCAGGAGCACAAACATTATTATAGCCCTGTCACCTGAAACTCAAGTGTGTCCCACAGATTCTGGGCAGGCAGGAAGTATTGAATGCCCATTTGTGTTCTCTGATTAAAAACACGGGCCGGCCACGGTGGCTCATGCCTGTAATCCCAGCACTTTGGGAGGCTGAGGCGGGCGGTGTCACTGGGCCCCACCACAACCTCCGCCTCCTGGGTTCAAGCGTTTCTCCTGTCTCAGCCTCCCAGGTAGCTGGGATTACAGGTACATGCCACCACACCGGCCAATTTTTGTATTTTTAGTAGAGACGGGGTTTCATCATATTGGTCAGGCTGGTCTCCACCTGAGGTGATCCGCCTGCCTCGGCCTCCCAAGGTGCTGGGATTACAGGCATGAGCCACCACACCCAGCCTGCCTAAATCTATTTCTTTTTGTTTTTTTTTTTTGAGACGGAGTCTCACTCTGTCACTAGGCCTCACTCTTATGCCAGGGCATGAGCTGCCATGCCCGGCCACCTAAATCTATTTCTATAGAGGCTCTTAAAACTCCTAGCTGGATGTTGTGGCCCATGCCTATAATCCCAGTGCCTCTAGTGGCTGACGCAGGAGGATCGCTTCAGCCCAAGAGTTTGAGGTTGCAGTGAGTTATGATCATGCCATTGCACTCCAGCCTGGGCAACAGAGCAAGACCCTGTCTCAAAAAAAAAAAAAAAAACCAAAAAAAAAAGAGGCCAGGTGCAGTGGCTCACGCCTGTAATCCCAGCACTTTGGGAGGCCAAGGCGGGTGGATCACAAGGTCAGGAGTTTGAGACTAGCCTGGCCAACATGGTGAAACCCCAACTCTACTAAAAATACAAAATTAGCTGGGCATGGTGGCGGCACCCGTAATCCCAGCTACTCAGGAGGCTGAGGCAGGAGAATCGCTTGAACCCGGGAGGCAGAGGTTGCAGTGAGCCGTGATCGTGCCACTGCACTCCAGCCCGGGCGACAGAGTGAGACTACATCTCAAAAACAAAAACAAAAACAAAGGACACTCCTAAAGAAGTCATCAACCTGTACAATCAATAGGGAGATTCAGTCAGCACAAAGTCACTCCAAAACACAGGTTTTGGCTCATTCTGTAAGAATCTCCCAGGCAAACAAGAAAAAGCAAATTTCTGCTTCAGATATACCGTTAACAGTGATTATCTGCAGGGGTGGCACATCAGGGGACCATTATATTTTTTCTTTTTTCTTTTAATATCTGCTCATGGGGTATTAAGTTTTTTTTGTTTTTTGGGGAGTTTTTTTTCAGACGAAGTGTCACTCTGTCACCCAGGCTGGAGTACAGTGGTGCGATCTCGGCTCACTGCAACCTCTGCCTCCCGGGTTAAAGTGATTCTCATGCCTCAGCCTCCGGAGTAGCTGGGATTACAAGCGTGGGCTACCAGGCCTAGCTAATTTTTGTATTTTTAGCAGAGTCAGGGTTTCACCATGTTGGTCAGGCTGGTCTCGAACTCCTGTGCTCAAGCAATCTGCCCGCCTCAGCCTCCCAAAGTGCGGAGATTACAGGCGTGAGCCACCGTGCCTGGCCAATTTTTAAAGAAATCAAACATTTAAATGAAGCCAGAGTCCTCGTTCATCACTACCCTTATCCTGTCCTGCCCACTCAGGCAGTAACCACCCTCACACCAAGGAGAATTTTCCTTCCAGCACATTCTTACACATTTTTTATGGAGATCTGTCTATCTACATACAACATAAAGTTTTGTACAGTTTTCATGGTTTCATATGGTGTAGAGTGCTGGACATTTTTCCTCCTTGACATATTGTTTTTGAGATACATTATTTGTACAGGTTGAGCCAATGATTTGTAACTGCTACATGCAGAGGATTATTTCCTCCTATAACTGTAACATAGGTGTTCATCTATTTCCCAATGGAGCTCGAGCTGGCTTATTTCCTAAGCTTTTACTGACATAAAAGAAGTTGCAATGAACATTTCTGTATGGTGCCTATGTATACTTGCAGTGTTGCCCAGGATGGAGTGCAGTGGCAAGATCAAAGCTCACTGAAGCCTCAAACTCCTTGGCTCAAGCAATCCTCCTGCCTCAGCCGCCCAAGTAGCTGTGACTACAGGTGCTCACCACCATGTCCAGCTAATTTTTTTAAGCTTTTGTAGAGATGGAGTTTTGCTATGTTGCCCAGGCTGGTCTCGAACTCCTGGGGTTAAGCAATCTTCCCACCTTAGCCTCTGAAAGTGCTGGGATTACAGCTGTGAGCCACCACACCTAGCCTTGGGAAATCCATCCTTAATTGCCTGTCAGTTCTCTCTTTAGTTCAGTGCTTCACACTGTAATCCCAGCACTTTGGGAGGCCAAGGAGGGAAGATTGCTTGAGCCTAGAAGTTCAAGACCCAGCCTGGGCAACATGGCAAAACCCCATCTCTATAAAAATTATAAAAAATTGGCTGGCTGCAGTGCCTTAATCCCAGCACTTTGGGAGGCCAGGGCAGGTGGATCACCTGAGGCCAGGAGTTCAAGACCAGCCAGCCTGGCCAACATGGCGAAACCTCATCTCTACTAAGAATACAAAAAAATTAGCCAGGCGTGGTGGTGGGCACCTGTAATCCTAGCTACTCAGGAGGCTCAAGCAGGAGAATCGCTTGAACCCAGGAGGTGGAGGTTAGAGTGAGCCAAGATCACACCACTGCACTCCACCCTGGGCAACAGAGCAAGAGTCTGTCTCAAATAAATAAAATAAAATAAAAAATACAAAAATTAGTCAGGTGTGGTGGGGTATGCCTGTAGTCTCAGCTACTTGGAAGACTGAAGTAGGAGGATAACTTGTTGACTGAGCCTGGGAGGTTGAGGCTGCAGTGAGCACTACTACACTCCAGCCTGGGCAACAGTGAGAGACCCTGTCTCAAAACAAAAACAAAAACAGAAAGAGAGGGTAAGAATAAAGATGCAAGTTTTAATTCACCCCAAACTCCCATTCTACTTTACCACAATCTAGCTCACCCCTTCAGGAAACAAACTGCAAATACAACAGCATCCATATCAAATGGAGTTTGATCACCAAGACACTGCAAGTCCACAGCGTCACTGTTATCCCAGCTCCTGCTTAAGGCTGCAGTCAATATGGAGGCACCAGTGGCCATGAAGCCAGCACTGCCTGTGGCTGCAGAAGCCTCACCCCATTTGGTCCTCACAGCAATTCGGTGATGCAGATGGAATTTTACCCCCCACATTTTTTTTTTTTTTTGAGATGGAGTCTCGCTCTGTCACCCAGGCTGGAATGCAGTAGTGTGATCTCGGCTCACTGCAACCTCTGCCTCCCAGGTTCAAGTGATGCTCCTGCCTCAGCCTCCCAAGTAGCTGGGATTACAGGTGCGCGCCACCATGCCCAGCTAATTTTTGTATTTTCAGTAGAGACAGGGTTTCACTATGTTGGCCAGGCTAGTCTCGAACTCCTGACCTCGTGATCCGCCTGCTTCAGTCTTGCAAAATGCTGGGATTACAGGTGTGAGCCACTGCACCCAGCCATTTTACCCCATTTTACAGATGAGGCAGCTGAGGTGCAGAGTCCACTGCTGTATGCACCATCCCTCTTCCCTGCTGAGTCAGCAATAAGGCCACACTGCAAACAGCCCAGGGGGCTCTAAGAGGTCCAGTTCCAGCACGGCGCCACCAGAGTAGAATGCTCTGTGGTCCTTGGAAAGGGTTAAATGAGATCTGAACGTACTCAGAATGATAACCCAGGTACATTGTTCAGTGAGACGGCGAGCTTCAGAATATAAGTGGTTGCATCTCATTTATGTTAAAAAAAAAAAAAAGTCTGGTGTGCTTGCATTCTCTCTCTCTCTCTCTTGCTGCAGGCACTTGTAAATGCAAACAAAATGTCTACAAGAGACACACCCACCTGTTCACAGTGCTCTTGGAGGGAGTAAAATGGGGTATCCAGAGAGGTTTATTTATTTATTTATTTTTTAAGAGATGGGTTCTTGCTCCATTGCCCAGGCTGGAGTGCAGTGGCACAATCATAGTTCACTGCAGCCTTACATCTAATCTCAAGCGATCTTCCCACCTTGGCATCCCAAAGTGCTGGAATTACAGGCATGAATCACCTTGACTGACCATGTCCAGAGAGTTGTAAGTCAGTCCTCTGCAATTTTATACAGTGGGCATGTGTTACTTTAATGATCTCAAAAAGTCTGATAAAGAAAAGCAGCCACAGGGAATTGACTCGGCTCCTCCAGCCTACACCCACAGAGTAAATCTGGAGAACAGGATGTGTTACCTATGGGCCTGGGTGCATATCTGGACCCAGCTGCCTCATCTGCATGTGATAAAGGATAAAGATTTTAATCAGATCCTGTGGCCAGAAGGGTTCCTAGGGCGATGGCTGTTCCTTGAGGACATTTCTGAGACAGGGTCTTGTTCTGTTGCTCAGACTAAGTGTAGTGGCCCAATCATAGCTCACTGCAGCCTCGAACTCCTAGGCTCAAGTGATCCTCCCACCTCGGCCTCCCATATAGCTGGGACTACAGGCATGTGCCACCGCACCTGACTAATTTACTTTTTTAGTAGAGACTAGACACAGGGTCTTGCTATGTTGCCCAGGCTGGTCTCGAAATCCTAGGCTCAAGGGATCATCCCACCTCAGCCTCCCATATAGCTGGGACTACAGGCATGTGCCACCGCACCTAACTAATTTACTTTTTTAGTAGAGACTAGAGACAGGGTCTTGCTATGTTGCCCAGGCTGGTCTCGAAATCCTAGGCTCAACGGATCATCCCACCTCGGCCTCCCAAAATGCTGGGATTTACAGGCATGAGCTACTGCACCTGGCCTCTGCTAGATCTTTTGATGCTCAAGTCTTCCAAGCATGAACTTGCACAGGCTGCCAAGGGAGCCATAGCTGCTGCCTTTTTAGCTTGTGTTATGCAAAAGATTTTATTTTATCCTTTTAAAAATTCCCTTGCAAATGACCTTTGTAACATCCCCTAAAATCACACGCATGTGCCTTTACCCATCACCTATATCCAGATTTGCAGCCACACTCAGGGCCAGACCAGCAGGTGTGCTGTTGAAAGCAGCTGGCTAGGAGCCAGCTCTACAGCATCCCAAATCAGCAATAGTCCCAGAGGATCGGTGGTCCCTTTGTTCCCACCCAGAGTCACAACATACCATGGAATGTTCTGGTTAGGGGCTTACTCCTGGAAGTTCAGCTGTGAACCCCAACTATGCCACTGACTTTGGTCTTTAGGTGAGTCACTAAACCTCTTTGTGACTCAGTCTCTTCATCTGTAAAATGGAGAATTACAGTCCCTTCCTACTGAGGCTGTTGTAAAAATTACCTTAAATTGCAAAACAGGTAGACGCTTAGAACAGTGCTGCACAAAGGCTGTGCAGACAGGACAGGAGCTGTGATTAACTATGAAGTGACTGGTTGATGAGGGCCTGTGTGAACCTAACCCTCAGAGCGCCTTTCCATTTATAGGAGAAAAAGCTTAAGTCAGAGAAGGCAGCCAACATGCACTGGCACAAACAAAACAAACTCTTTCATAACCAATTTCAGCCTCTGTGAAGTCTAGAACTTTAACCAAACTCAAAGATCAAAACAAAAAATATTCCAAAGTATTACTGATTGAGCAATCAATAAATGGACCACAGGAATCAGTTTTATCCTGGAAAGCTCCTCCTTGGTTTGGTCGAAGCCGGCGTTGGAAGCCGCAGACACCCCTTGGGGTCGGCCCCCTGGGGCCGAAGGTCCTCCAGGATTCCCTACTCCCAGCAATGGAAGCAGCCGAGCGTGGCCTCGCCCATGGTGAACTGGAGAACGTGGCTGCAAATCACCTCTTTCCTGGTTTTTCCTTTTGAACTCCTTGGATGAGGGCATGAGTCAGGGGGTAAAGGGGATGACTAAGGAAAAGACAGGAAAGTTCCTGCAAAGAGGGACTTGGTCGCGTCTTCTGAGTGGGTGAGGGTGGGGACCCTGCGGAGACCCGAAAGCAAGGACCATGGGGAGAACGGAACCCCGAGAGTTGGCCCTGGAAAACAGACCGAGGCTGGGCGAAGACGGAGAGGGGGCCCAAGTCACGGGGAAATGGGACGGGGACTGTCAGAGGCGGCGAAGGGGCTAAAATGCTTGCAGGAGAGGAGGGGGCAGATGTGCTTCCAGGTCAGCCTCTGCAAACCCCTCGAGCCCCAGATGAGTACACTAAGGCCCACGGCGGCGCGGGGCCTTCCTAGGGGCCTGCGGGGGACTCGGGCCGGAAAACAAAGCGCGAGCCCGGCCGGTGGGCTCACCTGGTTGCAGAAGACCTCGGGCTGCTGGTTGGGGGCAGGCACGGCCTGGGTGGCGGCGGCTGACAAGAGGCGGCGGCCCAGGCGGGGCCCGAAGCGGGCGGCAGCGCGCAACATCGCAGCGGGCTAGCGGACAGCGAGCGGACCGAGAGCAGAGCTAGGGTCTCAGGGCCACTGAGCCGACCCCGCTCCCCGCCCCGCGCGGCAGCCAATGGAAAGGCGGGGGCGGGCCGGGGGCGGGGCTGCCTCTACCATTCCTCGGGATGGGGCGCGCAGCTGATGCAAGCGAAGCGGGTGGCGCTAGGTACCCCCGGCCCGTGGCTGCCCCCTGGCTCGCGCGACGCCTCCGCGCCCGCCACCGCCCTCCGCCTGTGCGGAAAGACCCGGCCCCGCGAACGCAGCTCGCCTTGGTTGAGCCCCCAATGTGTGCCTTTGACCCCAATGTGAACAGGCCCGAGCCAGGGCGACCCTGACCTTCCCGGCTGATGCTCCAGGTGAAGAGACCGGCCGTAAACCCAAAAGCGAGATCATTTCGGAGGTGAAGGAGATGAACGAGGTGACATGGATGGGGCAGACGGCACTGCTTTTATAAGTACCATGGTCAGGAAATGACAAGTGAGACCTGAATGATGACAGGGAACAGCAAGGGCAAAGGCCAGGAGATGAGACCACCTGGCACGTGTTAGAGAAATGGAAAGAATGAATGGAGCCCAGTTAACAAGGAGAGAGGCGGCCAGGGCAAGGGCAGGGACGGTCTTGGAAGCAGCGGTTCAGAGTTTAGAACAGGATGATTTGCATGATTTGCTTATTCTTTTTTTTTTTTTTTTTTTTGAGACGGAGTCTCACTGTGTCGCCTAGGCTGGAGTGCAGTGGCACGATCTCGGCTCACTGCAAGCTCTGCCTCCCGGGTTCACACCAGTCTCCTGCCTCCGCCTCCGGAGTAGCTGGGACCACAGGCGCCTGCCACCACGCCCGGCTAATTTTTTGTATTTTCAGTAGAGACGGGGTTTCACCGTGTTAGCCAGGATGGTCTCGATCTCCTCACCTCATGATCCGCCTGCCTCGGCCTCCCAAAGTGCTGGGATTACAGGCGTGAGCCACCGCGCCCGGCGGTGGGACTCTGATTTCAACACCAGATTCCACCAAAGTCGCCCTGGGGGCTCAGCACCATTCCACACAAACCAGAGGAAGAAAAGGCATGGGGGTGGCCCATGGGAGGTTTCTGTGGGCTGAGCCTGCTCGCCTGGCTGGATTTCAATCACACAACCATGCCTCCATGCAAAAGAGTCTGGGAAATGAGTGGCCCCTGTGCCAGGAAGAAGGGAAATAGGTTTGGAGATCAGCTGCAGAGATAATCTGATAACCAAGACTCCCTTCCTTCTCTGAATTCAGCCATGCAGGCCCCACTTCCCCTTCCCAATGGCGCCTTGCTTTTTTTTTTTAGATGGGGTTTCACTCTTGTTGCCCAGGCTGGCACCATGTGGGCTCACTGCAACTTCCACCTCCCAGGTTCTAGCGATTCTCCTGTCTCAGCCTCCCAAGTGGCTGGGATTACAGGCGCATGCCACCACACTTGGTTAATTTTTGTATTTTTAGTAGAGATGGGGTTTCATCATATTGGTCAAGCTGGTCTCGAACTCCTGACCTTAGGTGATCCGCCCACCTCGGCCTCCCAAAGTTCTGGGATTACAGGCATGAGCCACCGTGCCAGGTACTTTTTTTCCCTTAATACTGTGTGTGGAGATCGTTTTGTCACAGCACACAAGGACTATGTCCCCATTCTCTTCAACAGTTTCATGGTATTCCTCTGGATACATGAGGTAGTTTTATTTCATGAATTTCCTATGATGGACATTTAGGTTGTTTCCAATCTTTTGCCACTACAAACAATGCCACAATGTATGCTCTTGATTTGCTTAAGAAATTAATAGAAATGAGGCTGGCACCATGACTCGTGCCTGTAATCTCAGCACTCTGGGGGGGAAGCTGAGGCGGGTAGATCACTTGAGGTGAGGAGTTCGAGACCAGCCTGGCCAACATGGTGAAACCCCATCTCTACTAAACACACACACACACACACACACACACACACACACACACACACACACACACACACAATTAGCCAGGAATGGTCGCAGTGCCTGTAATCCCAGCTACTCCAGAAGGTGAGGCAGGAGATTGCTTGAATCTGGGAGACAGAGGTTGCAGTGAGCCAAGAGCTGAGATCGTGCCACTGAACTCCAGCCTGGGTGATAGAGTGAGACTACGTCTCAAAAAAAAAAAAAAAAGAAAAAAAAAAAGAAAAAAAAAAGAAAGAAAAGAAAAGAAAGAAATTAGTAGAAATGGAACAAAGAATATTTACAATTTAAATACAGATATATTACCCTCCAAAGAAGTTTAATTTATGCCCCACTACCTGTCATGTCTGAGTTTCCTTACACCCTCACCAGTAGAAGTTTCAGGATTTTTTTTTTAGCTTTGCTAATCTGAGAGACGAAAAAGTGGCATTTCACTACCACATTAATTTGCTTCTCTTTTACGAGTGAGCTTGAGCATCTCTGCCTAGATGAAGTCATGCATGTTTCCTCTGCTATGAACTAGCTGCTCATGTCTCTGGCTCACTTTTCTATTGGATTGTTGGTCTTTCTGAAATTGATTTGTAGGTGCTTTATATGTATCCAGGCAATTAACATTTTGTCTATCATATATGGCACAAATACATCCTGCCAGTCATCTTTTTACTACTAAGTAACTGTAAGTAGCTATTTCTGAACTACTGTATATTCTGTGTCATTGATCTCTGTATGCGTGTGCCAGTATGACACTGTTTTCATCACTGTAGCTTTCTAAGTCTTCTTGTTTTTTTTCCCCAAGACCAGGGTCTCGCTGTCACCCAGGCTGGAGTGCAGTAGCACAATCACAACTCGCTGCAGCCTCGACCTCCCAGGCTCAATTGATCCTCCCACCTCAGCCTCCTGAGTAGTTGTGATTACAGGTGCATGCCACCATGCCTGACTGATATGGTTTCACTGCGTCCCTACCCAAATCTCATCTAGAATTGTAACTCCCACAATTCCCACATGTTATGGGAAGAACCTGGTGGGAGGTGACTGAATTATGGGGGCAGGTCTTTACTGCACTGTTCTTTTGATAGTGAATGAGTCTCACGAGATCTGATGGTTTTAAAAACGGGAGTTTCCCTGCACAAGCTCTTTTTCTGCCTGCGGCCATTTATGTAAGACGTGACTTGCTCCTCCTTGCCTTCTGCCGTGATTGTGAGGCCTCCCCAGCTATGTGGAACTATAAGTCCATTAAACTTCTTTTCTTTTTTTTTTTTTTTGAGACACAGTCTAGCTCTGTCACTCAGGCTGCAGTGCAGTGGTGCTATCTTGGCTCACTGCAAACTCCGCCTCCCAGATTCAAGCGATTCTCCTTCCTCAGCCTTCCAAGTAGCTAGGATTACAGACGTGCCACCACGACTGGCTAATTTTTGTATTTTTTAGTAGAGATGGGGTTTCAACATGTTGGCCAGGCTAGTCTCGAACTCCTGACCTCAGGTGATCCACCTGCCTTGGCCTCCCAAAGTGCTGGGATTACAGGCATGAGCCACCGCACCTGGCCTAAACCTCTTTTGTAAATTGCCCAGTCTCAGGTATGTCTTTATCAGCAGCATGAAAACGGACTAAGGCACCAGCTAATTTTTTTTTTTTTTTTTTGTAGAGATAGGGTCTCTTTATGTTGCCCATGCTGGTCTTGAACTCCTGGGCTCAAGCAGTCAGCCCACCTTGGCCTCCCAAAATGCTGAGACTACAGGCATGTGCCACCATGCCCGGCAGCCTCCTAAGTCTTAATAGCTTGTACTAATATTTCTCTTAACCAAGATCTTTCAGCCTGGAAGTGATGAGGTTGCACATGTGCCTTCGAGGGATTCCTCTGAGAACTGCATGGAAACTCAGTTGTAGTGGGGAGGCAGGCCAGAGGCAGAGAGATGAGGAGGGCTCAGTTGGCAGAAAGAGTGTGAAGGTGGAATTGACAGGTAGCTGTGTGGAGATGAGGGCGAGAGGAGTGGAGTGGGTGCTGAGGTTCTTACCATGTGCTATTCCCCAGGATGGGGGAGCCAGGAGCAGCAGTAAACTTGGTTGTGGGGAGGGGAAGGAGAAAATGAGCTGACTTATCCACATTCGCATACATCGATACAATGTGGGCAACGTGCTTCGTCCCTGTTGGTGTGCGTGGTGTGTGTCTCAGTGCAGGACACGCTGGTCCACAGGTTCGTTTATTCTGGTTTGTCTGTGGTCTGTGGTGCTCACCATAATCCTAACCAGCAGCTCTCTCATCCCTGGTGCCCTACTGTTGGTGCACCTGTTCCACCCATGTCCTGCCCTCTCTCCTTATGGAAATCTTCCCTATCAAGATCCAGCCCAAGTCCCATCTTCTGGGAAGTCTTTTGTGACCATAGTAGCCTTCCTTAGCTGCTTTTTTTTTTTTTTTTTTTTTTTTTGAGACGGAGTCTCTCTCTGTTGCCCAAGCTGCAGTGCAGTGGTACCATCTCAGTTCACTGCAACCTCTGCCTCCTGGGTTCAAGCGATTCTCCTGCCTCAAGCTTCCCAAGTAGCTGGGATTACAGGCATGCACTACCATGCCTGGTTAATGTTTGTATTTTTAGTGGAGACAGGGTTTCACCATATTAGCCAGGCTGGTCTCAAACTCCTGGCCTCAAGTGATCCACCCAAGTCAGCCTCCCAAAATGCTGAGATTACAGGTGTGAGCCACCACATTTGGCCTCAGCTGCTTTCACACAGTCCTCAACCAAATACTGCAGACCAAGATCACCTGGATGTGCTGAAACGCTATTGTAATTATGGCTCCTTGTGGCTCAGTCTCTCCAAAGAATGAACTAAAACTTAACTCTCAACCTAGATTTCACCCTGACAGTCTGAGGCTTTCCTCTCTTCCACGTTTCTTTCCATCTGTTTCCTGGTTCTTCATCGCCCCTTGTCTGTGGGCTCACTGGCAGGAATGGGGCCGGCAGAAGCACAGGCATTCTCATGGTGCTGAGACCTTCGGTGGAAGCACCTCAAGCCACTTAACTTCCTCTAAGATATTCAAATTCCTAGCTTTCAACTACTCTGAAACCTTTCATTGTTAGGGCACAACTGATGTGCTTTCAGGCTTTAAAAAACCCTAGTTCCACTTGCTCTCCAACAAAGGTTGTGACTGAGGTCTCCTTCAGGGTCACTGACTGGTGAGATTCTAGATGTTTGGTTGTTTAGTCCCCGTTCTGGGACACTGACTCTGTCTATGGAAGCTCTTTGTTGCTGTTGTTGCAAACAATGATGTTAGGTGAGGAATTTAAAGCCCCATTTTAACAGGAAGACATCTGGCTGGGGGCAGTGGCTCAGCCTATAATCCAACACTTTGAGGCCGAGGCGGGCGGATCATCTGAAGTTGGGAGTTCTAGACCAGCCTGACCAACATGGAGAAACCCCATCTCTACTAAAAATACAAAATTAGCCAGGTGTAGTGGTGCATGCCTGTAATCTCAGCTACTTGGGAGGCTGAGGAAGGAGAATCGCTTTAACCCGAGAGGCGGAGGTTGCGGTGAGCTGAGATAATGCCATTGCACTCCAGCCTGGGCAACAAGAGCAAAACTCCGTCTCAAAAGCAAAACAAAACAAAACACAGTAAGACATCTGCCCTCACAGGTAGGAGGAAAAATATGGTCAGCCCTGAGCCCCAGCTCTGCCCTCCTTGTTTGCATATGTACACACACACACATACACACACACACACACACACACACACACAATCTCTCTCTCTCTCGGACACACAGCTGGCTTGACACTCCACAGGCAGCCAGGGCCACAGGGCAGACACCCCCATCATGGAGCCTGACCCCCTAAGAGGCAGTCGGGGGGGCATCCCGGAGATTATTCTGGAAGCATCAGAAGCTCATGCACTTCTTGAGGGCACAGCACGCTCTCCTTGGTGACATGAGCCTCATCATCTTCCTCCTTTCCTAGGTGAGGAGGCCAGTACCTCACAGAGGTGATCTTAACGATCCATGCCATGGAGTAGAAAGAGCTCTGGGATCTTCTGAATTTAGGTTTGAATTCACTGACAAGCTGTGTGATCTTAAGCAAGTTGCACAATTCCTTTGAACCTCTGTCTCCTCATCTCTAGCAGGGGCAGAATAAAAGGATCTGCCAATTGTTATAGGGTTCAAAATAACTGGCCAGGCGCAGTGGCCATGCCTGTAATCCCAGCACTTTAGGAGGCTGAGGTGGGTCAATCACCTGTCAGGAGTTCAAGACAAGCCTGGCCAACATGGTGAAACCGTCTCTACTAAAATTACAAAAATTAGCCAGGTGTGGTGGTGCGTGCCTGTAGTCCCAGCTACTCAGGAAGCTGAGACTGGAAAATCACTTGAACCCGGGAGGCAGAGGCTGCAGTGAGCTGAGATCGTACCACTGCACTCCAGCCTGCACAACAGAGTGAGACTCTGTCTCAAAAAACAATAATAATAATAATATACAGATAGTTCTTGGCACCTGGTATGTACTAAATACCCAGTAGCTCTTATGATTCTAGCCAGGCGGTGTCTGCTCATTCTGCCTCCCCTGGGGATCAGGTTAGGGAAGTCAAGCCCTTCTCACCCTCGCTTCTCAAAGTGGGTCCCAAAACAAGGAGCATGACCTGCAAGTGTGTTAGGAAGGCAGGCCCACCGCACCACGCTCTGCATTTTAACCTGATCGCAGGGGCATTCCTTTGCTAGTTGAGTGTGAGAAGCATGGCATCTTATGTGGTCCAGGCTAGTCCTCAGCCCAGATGAGGCCCCACATTCTTGCACTCCAATGTGAGCACAGCCGCCTCCTCTTTAGCGGGTCCCGCTCCTGACTCCAGCCACACACGAACAGCTGGTGTGTGCTGTGGCTTATGGTAAGCCACACATCATCCCATTTAATCCTCAGGTGATTCTGGGAAGCAAGGACTGGTCTACTCATTTTTCAAATGAGAAATCTGGCCGGGTGTGGTGGCGCATGCTTATAATCCCAGCACTTTGGGATGCTGAGGTAGGAGGATTGCTTGAGCTCAGGAGTTTGAGACCAGCCTGGCCAACATGGTGAGACCTCTGTCTCTTAAAAAAAATTTAAATAAATAAATAAATAAAACGAGAGATCTAAGTCTCTAAGATGAAGGAACATTTCCAAAGGTTGCCCAGCTACTCTGTCACAGAGTCAGGATTTAAACCCATTTGAATTTGGGCCATTTGAATCTAGAGCCACAGTCCTGACAAAAATTCTCTCCTTGAGCACGCTCTCGCCAGCCTTCCTCTGAACTCCCATCTCCACTAGACCTCAAACTTGGCATATTAAAACTGCAGACTTTCAGCACAAATGCTTAAGTCCACACCCCCATACTCCCATGAAAAGACTTAAGTTACATGGTGTCCAACATCTCAAGACCACATCTGTGGGATGCCCGTACCTGCCTGAGAAAGCCCAAAGCTGCTGAAAGAAATTACTGTTTGTTCCAGCAACACTAGAAGATGGACCCTGTCCCCCAGCCTCCAAGGGAGGGCAGGAGCCTAACCCTAAGCGCCAGTTAGCAAACCCAGACAGGTGTCACGCCAACCACACTCCTTCCTGCTCTCTCTGGTTCCCCTTCCTGACTCTTGAGCCCCCCTCCCAACCACCACCCCTCCCATCACCTCCGCACAAATCCAAGTGGAGCTCAGTTCCCGCTGGGCCCTGCTCTCTAAAGCAATGGCTTATGACTGATTAAAACCTGTCCCTGCTGGGCACGGTGGCTCACGCCTATAATCCCAGCACTTTGGGAGGTTGAAGCAGGCAGATCACTTGAAATCGGGAGTTCAAGACCAGCCTGGTCAACATGGCAAAACCCTGTCTCTACTAAAAATACAAAAATTAGCCAGGCATGGTGGTGCATGCTTGTAATCCCAGCTACTCGGAAGGCTGAGGTAGGAGAACTGCTTAAACCCAGGAGGTGGAGGTTGCAGTGAGCCAAGATGGCACCAATGCACTCCAGCCTGGGCAACAGAGTGAGACTCTGTCTCAGAAAAATAAATAAAACCTGTCCCTACCACTTTAGTGTCCGCCTTTACCTCTGACAGCTCTTCACCACTGTGTCATCCGTCTAACACTGATAGGACAGAAAATCCCCTGGGCCATTTCTCCACTCAGTCAACTTGATTAAAAGAAACCCTGTCCCAGGTTACTTGCAGGTGTGGGCCCCAGGCCGCTGGAGTCCGGGACTCACCTGTCCCAACGCGCATCCATTTTGGTAAAATGGACGAAGGGGAGAAATCTGTACCTATGTCGCAGCAGGGAGGGCAGCAGAAATACCAACAAGAGGGGTCTCTGAGTGACAGCCTTGGCACGCCCGAGGCATCCCTGGGGAACTCTGAAGCCCTGGGTGGTGACCGACAACCCTGGGGGACTGACAATGGGTACAAGCAGCAGAGATCACTGGAGCCTGTTCTTTCGGTGTCACTCCCAGCTGCCGTCTTGAAGGGGCCCTGCCCAGACAAGTTGCCTGGAAGTGTCTCTTTGCAGCCTCTGTAGGATTGTTGTGGAATGATCTGACGGTATCTGAAATCAGGCCTTGGCGAGCACAGGTCTTGGCATCCAGACACCATCTGGCCTCCCGAAGTGCTGGCATTATGTGTGTGACCCGCGGCGCCCAGCCTGCCCTTTCTTCTTGTCAGGCAGGTTTGGCTGAGACACCTCTTCTGGAAAGAGTCCTCCCCTCAGCCTCCAGCCCCAGCAGTGCTTGCCCCATCACACGCCCAGGCCTCTGGGGCACTAACCGCCATCCCCTACTTGAGATGCAAACCCCCAAAGGCCAGCAGTTGTCCTGTTTTGTTTACTTGCACATTCCCCAAGGCCTGGACTCCTGCTGGGCCCAGAGCTGAGGCTCCCTCGACAGTGGTGGGCAGAATGATCTAGCAGAGGTGGAGGGCCTGGGGGGGACCTGCCTGTCTGCAGGCAGCATTCCTGGGGCCCCCGGGGTCTCTAGCCCTCAAGGCAGAGGATCTGAGGGAGATATGGGGGTACCCACAGCCTGACTCCCATTTTCCTCTCAGCAGCTGCGTTACTGAACAGGCAAGGTTAACCTCAGAGGCCACGAAAGACATTCTTAGGCCCATGAGACAGGCCAGGCCACGACCACTTCCTTTTTTTTGAAGAAAACCTCTCCTCCCGGAGCCTGAGGGAGCACTCAGCTGCTGCGCTCCTGCCAGCTTAGCAGTGGGCTCCTGGCCAGTGTGGCTGTCATTGTGACAGGCATTTGTTTGGGGTTTAACTTCCTTGAGCAACAAGCAGTTTCTCAAGTGTGGTGAAGGGGGACCTGCCTCCCCAGACCCCTGGGCATGTGGGTCTGAGGAGCCCATTCACGGGCCCCTCATGGTGCTGATCCTGGCTGGCCATTCTCAGGGAAGGCAGTTCCCACAGGGTCACCTCTGCAAGGTGGCAGCCGGGGGGGATGGTTCCTGCCCGTCTGGTCTAACCTGAGACGAGTTTTGGCTACCCCACCACGAGTTATGAGACGAGCAGGCTGGGGCCTCACTGCCCCTGGCTCACCTCTGCATGTCGCTGGGTTTCTCAAGGAGCTCAGACTGCAAGTGAGTAAGCATTTCCACTCTCCTCAGAGAAGAGAGATTGTGCTCCAAAGTGTAATGGCGAATGGGCCACCACCTCCCCTTCGCCCAGATATTCTGACTATGGAGCAGGTGGAGGCTGCAGGGGCCTCACATGCCAGCTCCTGGGTAAAGTATGTATGAGCACAGAGCCCCGGGCTACATAGTGAGGGAAGGCAGCCAACTCGGGACTTATCGGACCCGTGGCCTCTGTGCTCCCAGCATGTATGGGGCTGAGATGATGGCCTGGACCTCGAGGAAACACAGGCAGGAGGAGGCATGAAGGCGCTGAAGGGAACCTCTCCACTCGATTCTCTTTGTATGACACAGAAAGTCCACAAAGCCTCCGAGATGTGTTTACTTATTCTTCTGTGTCCCCAAAACCCCTTTCCAAAATAACATTTAAATGATTGTTCTGTGCTGTGTGTTCAAATGGAGATAATCAGATGCCAGTGGCTTTACAATGTGGGTTGCATTCCATTTTCCCAGGCGCCCAGGTCCTGGGTCTCTAGGCCACCGCCCGCCGTGGCCGCCCCTCTGCTCACCAGGGAGGCCAGACAGGAACCCTGCAGCTGCCAGAGCAAGCACGTCCCACAGCCTTGGGAGGCCTCCCAAAATGTGTCCAGATTCCCACAGGCAGAGAGAGAGGGACTGAAAGGCTGAAGTGAAGTGACCGTGCCTGCCCAGCCTGGGACTGAGAGCCTGAAGACCAGCTTTCCAGACTCTGTCCCAGAACCCCCTTGGCCCTCAGCAAATCCCCTCCTCCTGGCCTGAAACAGACTCCAGGCTTCTTGCAGAGACGTCTTCTGTGGAGAACCAGAAAGATTGAGTCCACCCTGACTGTCCCGGGACAGAGCTGCTGAGCAGGGTGCAGGAGCCACAAACACCGGATCTTTCGAGGCACATCAGTGACAGATCTGGGCACAGCTGGACCAGCCAGGACATTGAGCCACTGCAGCCCCAAGGCTCTAAATGCGGTGCTTCAGCTCTAGCTTGGCCACCGTGGCCCGGTGCACCTCGTCAGGGCCGTCGGCAAAGCGCAGGGCTCGGGCCCAGGTGAAGAACTGAGCCAGTGGGTAGTCGCTGCTCAGGCCTGCTGCTCCAAAGGCCTGGCAGACACAGAGTGGAGGGAGGCGGCCCTGGGTCAGCCCTTGTCTCCGAGAGCCCCAGGAATGATAGCCTGCTCTTGATGGCCCATAACAACCATCTTCCCGGACTTCCCTGTGGCACCTATGTGATACAATCACTAATATTCCAGAGGGCTTCCATGGGGCCACACCTGCCATCCCACGGCCTCCAGACTCCCCAGGCCCACTCTGCAGGTGCCTTCTGCCCTGTGCTGGGGCCGGGGGTTAGGATCTAAGGAGGCGGCCCCCCTGCATGGGAAAGAGCCTGGGCTCTGGGCTTATGAAAACCCAAGTTCATGTGAATTTGAGGTCAGCTACTTGCAAGCTCAGTGACCTGGACAAGTCACTTCACTTTTCTGTGCCTGTTTCCTCACATTCAAAATGGGGGTACGATGGCACCTCCCACCTTGCTGGGTCATTCTGAAGAGGAAAAGGAAAGTTGCATGCATGGTGAGTGGGTGACACAGGGCATCTGCCAGGGTCTATGGGAGGCTGGGCGGCTGAAGATAGGAGAGTTTGGCATCTAGTATTGATGGTTCAAATAAGCCAACTGTCTGGTCTGTGCTCACCTGAATCGCACGATCAATCACTCGGGAGGCCATGGACGGGGCGACCATTTTAATCATGGCTATATCCAAGGCTGCAGCCTGTAAGGAGGAGGAGATGCGATCATAAAAGACCCGAGGGCAGCCTGGGTGGCAGAGTGAGGCCCCCCCGTCCCCCATCTCTACTAAAAATACAAAAACTAGCAGGGTGTGGTAGCATGTGCTTGTAGTCCCAGCTACTCAGGAGGCTGAGGTGAGAGGATTGTTTGAGTCTGGGAAGTTGGGGGCTGTGGTAAGCTGAGATTGCAACACTGCACTCAAGCCTGGACAACAGAGTGAGACCCCCTCTCAAAAACAAACAACAGGCCAGGCGCGGTGGTTCAGGCCTGTGATTCCAGCACTTTGGGAGGCCGAGGCGGGCAGATCACCTGAGGTCAGGAGTTTGAGACCAACCTGGCCAACATATAGTGAAACCCAGTCTCTACTAAAAAATACAAAAATTAGCTGGGCGTGATGGTGCACACCTGTAGTCCCAGCTACTTGGGAAACTGAGGCAAGAGAGCTGCTTGAACCCGGGAGGCGGAGGTTGCAGTGAGCCAAGATTGTGCCACTCTACTCCAGCCTGGGCCACCGAGTGAGACTCTGTCTCTCAAAAACAAAACGAAAAACTAAACCACAAAAAAGACCCGAAGGCAGAAAGCCTGGAAGAATGATCAGATTCCCAGCAAGAAGTCAAACACCACCGTCCAAAACAGAGGCCCCAAGGTCTCGCTGATGTGAGCTGGGTGAGGCTGCCCCTGCCTGGTGTACGGCTTGACAGCACCCAGGGATGAAGGGCGCCATGTTGGCAACTATTATCTTATGTCACAAGATGCGAAGCAAGTGCTGGCAGAATGTGGCTGTCTTCCCAGATGACGGGGAACACAGCCAGCACACACTGAAGGGATAAGGGGAGGGTCCTGTGCTTTGCTCAGGGTCACGGCCAGCTCTGCCTCCAAGCAGCAGTGGACCAAGGCCACTCAGGGCTCTGGGAAACCGAGCTACAGTGATCTGCCCTGGGGCAGGGTGTTCAAGGGAGACACCCAGCAGCCTCCACCATATCTAGCACGCCAGCGTCAAAGAACCAGGAACTGTGAGCATGAGCATGGGTTGGTCCCTGATGGTTGAGGGTCTTGGGTGGGGTTGGAGGCTGCCCCACAGAAAGCTGGACAAAGCAAGGTCAACATGGCATTGTGCTTGGTCATCACAGGCACTTAGAAAGAGCCTTAGTTAGCCTGGGCAACATGGTGAGAGCCGGTCTCTACAAAAAATAAAGAATTAGCTGGGCATGGAGGTTTGCGCCTGGAGTCCCAGCTACTTGGGAGGCTGAGGCTTCAGTGAGCCATGATGTACCACTGCATTCTAGCCTGGCTACAGAGCAAGGCCCTGTCTCAAAAAATAAATAAATAAAAGGTTAAAAAGAGCCTTAGTGAATGACTAATGTCACACTTGAAAATAAGCTTCTATTTTTGTTAATTCAATATTCAGATGAAGGCCAGCAGAGGGTCCCTTTTCCCTGCCTTACTCTTAGGTTGCCCAACACCTCCACCAATGGCCCTGGGAGTCCAGGGCCACCCAGGGGCCCTGTGGCCCCATCAGACCCACTGCCTTGGACTAAGCAGCTCACCAGGTCAGTAAAACACAAAGGCCAGTCCTCTCTTCTTGTGCCTTTCCAATTTTTGAAAAACTGCCCAAACAGCTCCAAGTAGAGGTGAAATAAAGTTTCTAATGTCAAGAAGCCAGGCTCTCATGCTTTGCTGAGTGAGGAGGAAGAATCTCTGCCTCTGGGAGGCCCCCTCGTGCCCCTGCCCCTACCTTGTTTCCTGCCAGGTCCATGAGGTGGGCAGCTCTCAGCACCAGCAGCCGTGCCTGCTCAATCTCCACGCGCGACTGCGCGATGTCCGCCAGCACTGTGCCCTGCTCCACCAGGGGCTTCCCAAAAGCCAAGCGGGACTTCACCTGTCGACACAGGAGATGTGCGGCTGAGGACATGCTGGGCTGGGGGTGGCCACGAGAGGCGGGGGCTGGTGGCCTGCAGAGCTGGGTGGAAGCAGACAGGACAGGGCAGGGGAGGAGAGTGAAACCAGGACTGTGCATCTTCTCAGCCAAGGTGCCTGTGTGCAGCCATGCGCCATGTCCAGGGAGTAGGTCTGACACACAACCTTCACGTGTGCCACAGCCAGCCACAGCCCACAGGGTGCCTGTAACAAATTGCTTCCAAGAACCCTTTATTCCAGCCATTGCACATCTGGGCAGGCCTGGCTACCAGACAGGAGCAGTTATAGATCTGAGCCAGCATCTGACCCAAGGCTACTCCTGGGAATGAGGGAGTGACTGCAGGCACTGCACACGGCGCAGGCGAAGGGTGCCCTCTGCTGACCGCAGCACCCCTTCCTGCCCTGCAGCTCCAATGGGAGCAAGGTCCCCTCAGCCCCGTCTCGCTCCCGGCCTTCCGCCGTGGGTGGCCTTATCTGCAAGGGGGATTTTAAATTCTGAAAGTCACAAGGCATCAGAAAAGGTTCTAAGTATTCCTTTTTTTTTCTTGTTTTATTTATTCTTTTTCCTTCTTTTTTTTATTATTTTTTTGGAGACGGGGTCTCACTTTGTTGCGCAGGCTGGAGTGCAGTGGCGTGATCTTGGCTCACTGCAACCTCCGCCTCCCGGGCTCAAGCAATCTTCCTACCTCAGCCACCTGAGTAGCTGGGACCACAGGCAAGAACCACCACATCTAGCTAACTTTCCAATTTTTTGTAGAGACAGGGTCTCACTACATTGCCCAGACTGGTCTCAAACTCTTAGACTCAGGCAATCCTCCTGCCTTGGTCTCCCCAAGTGTTGGGATTACAGGCATGAACCACCACACCCAGCCTAGTTTTTTTTTTTTTTTTTCACTAAAAACAATCTACACAAATAATTTATCTCATGGCAGAAAAACTACCTGTTTTCAGAACAAAAAAAGAGAAGACAGTAAGAGCACCTAGAATCCCACCATCTAGTCACCACTAGTTAATATTTGGTGGATATTCTCCTCTATCCTTCTATAGTTTTTTTATATATACTTATTTTTTCCAAAAACGGGAGCCACACTCTATATATGGTTTTGTAGCCTTTTTGTTTGTTTGAGACAGAGTTTCGCTTTTGTTGCCCAGGCTGGAGTGCAGTGGCGCGATCTCGGCTCACTGCAACCTCTGCCTCCCGGGGTTCAAGTGATTCTCCTGCTTCAGCCTCCCAAGTAGCTGAGATTACAGGTGCCTGCCACCACACCTGGCTAATTTTTGTATTTTTTTAATAGAGATGGGGTGTTTCATAATTTTGGCCTGACTGGTCTTGAACTCCTGACCTCAGGTGATCTGCCTGCCTTGGCCTCTCAAAGTGCTGGGATTACAGGCATGAACCACAGCACCCGGCCAGCCTGCTTAAAACAATAACAACAACAACAACAACAACAACAAAACATTATTTTGCATCAAAGCTAACAGCCTGTTTTTGTTTGTTTTTTTTTTTCCCAGACAGGGTGTTGCTCTGTTACCCAGGCTGCAGTGCAATGGCACACTCACAGGTCGCTGCAGCCTCGACCTCCCAGGCTCAGGAGATCCTCCCACCTCAGCCTCCTGAGTAGCTAGGACTATAAATGTGTGCCACCACACCTGGCTACTTTTTTTTTTTTTTTTTGAGACAGAGTATCGCTCTTGTTGCCCAGGCTGGAGTGCAATGGTGCGATCTCGGCTCACCGCAACCTCCACCTCCCGGGTTCAGGCGATTCTCCTGCCTCAGCCTCCCAAGTAGCTGGGATTACAGGCATGCGCCACCACGTCCAACTAATTTTATATTTTTAGTAGAGACAGGGTTTCTCTATGTTGGTCAGGCTGGACTCGAACTCCCGACCTCAGGTGATCTGCCCACCTCGGCCTCCCAAAGTGCTGGAATTACAGGTATGAGCCACCACACCCAGCCCCACCTGGCTACTATTTTTAATTTTTTAATTTTAATTTTTTTTTTTGAGATGGAGTCTTGCTTTGTCACTCCGGCTAGAGTGCAGTGGTGCAATCTCAGCTCAGTGCAACCTCCGCCTCCTGGATTCAAGTGATCCTCCTGCCTCAGCCTCCCAAGTAGCTGGGATTACAGGCATGTGCCACCATGCCCAGCTAACTTCTGTATTTTTAGTAGAGACGGGGTATCACCATGTTGGCGAGGCTGGTCTTAAACTCCTAACCTGAAGTGATCCGCCCACCTCAGCCTCCCAAAGTGCTGAGATTACAGGCGTTAGCCACCGCGCCCAGCCTTATTTTTTATAGAGATGAGGTTTTGCCGTATTGCCCAGGCTAGTTTCAAATTCCTGGGCTCAAGCAATCTGCCTGCCTCGGCCTCTCAGAGTGCTGGGAGTGTCACCACACCTGGCCACAGTCTTTTTTTTTAAATTTAAGTGTATATAGTGAGCAATTTCTCCATGTTAAGGAATAGATTTCCACAGCATCATTTAAAGTCTCACTGTATGCCATCTTGTGTTTTATTTGGCCAACAGTCATTGTTAGCCTTATAGGTTGTTCAGAATTTTGCTATTTCAATAAGCACTGTGGTGAACCTCCTTGTAGCAAATCTTTTGTAGATTCCTAATTACTCCAACCAAGTCTTCAGTGGAGGTGCCATGTTCATGCTATGCACTTTCTGGAGACTTCTGTCTGACTCATTCAGTCCAATTATTCTGCCAGAAGGCTGAATTTAATTCCATGTGGGGCTGAAGCACCATACCTGAGTCCATAGACAGGAGCGTTTTACTTAGAAAGAAAAAATAACTGGTCAGTCTTAACTCAAAAGGGTGTAAATCACAGGTTTGCTCGGTAATAAAAAATTCAGACTGCCTCTGTTCTTTCAATAGCAGTTCTTGTGAGACACTGGTTTTGGTCTCAGGGTTTGCGTCACCTTTCTGAAATTGATAATCACCAATTTGAATTCCTGTCCTGGAAGCAGCTGTCTTTTAACCTAGGTTTCCAAACTTTGGGGGTGGTAGGATTATGGCCGAATAAAGTTTTCTGGATGTGCTGTGGAGGAGGGTGGTACAGGCCAGATGATGGAAGCCTAGGGACAAAAACAAGCAACATGGGATCTCCCTGGTGTCTGATTTTTATTTATTTATTTATTTTTAAAGAGACAGGGTCTCACTCTGTCACCCAGGCTGGAGTGCAGTGGTGTGATCACTGCTCACTGCAGCCCTAAACTCCTGGGCTCAAGCGATCCTTCTGCCTCAGCCTCCTGAGTAGCTGGGACTAGAGACACATGCTACCATGCCTGGCACTTAAAACTTTTTCTTTTTGGCCAGGCACGGTGGCTCACGCCGGTAATCCCAGCACATTGGGAGGCTGAGGTGGGCGGATCATGAGGTCAGGAGATCGAGACCATCCTGGCTAACACGGTGAGATCGAAACCATCCTGGCTAACATGGTGAAACCCCATCTCTACTAAAAATACAAAAAATTAGCCAGGCATGGTGGCGGGTGCCTGTAGTCCCAGCTACTCGGGAGGCTGAGGCAAGAGAATGGTGTGAACCCAGTAGGCAGAGGTTGCAGTGAGCCAAGATCGCGCCACTGCACTCCAGCCTAGGCAACAGAGTGAGATTCCGTCTCAAAAAAAAAAAAAACAAAAAAAACTTTTTCTTTTTTTTGCCGGGCACGGTGGCTCACACCTGTAATCCCAGCATTTTGGGAGCCCGAGGCGGGCAGATCACGAGGTCAAGGGATCGAGACCTTCCTGGCCAACATGGTGAAACCCTGTCTCTACTAAAAATACAAAAATTAGCTGGGCGTGGTGGCACGTGCCTGTAGTCCCAACTACTTGGGAGGCTAAGGCAGGAGAATTGCTTGAACCCGGGAGGTGGAGGTTGCAGTGAGCCGAGATCACACCACTGAACTCCAGCCTGGTGACAGAGCAAGACTCCATCTCAAAAAAAAAAAAAAAATTTTTTTTTTTTTTGTAGAGACTGAGTCTCTCTTTTTCGCCTAGGCTGGTCTCAAATGCTTGGCTTCAAGCAACCCTCCTACCTAGACCTCCCAAAGTACTGGGATTATAGCTGTGAGCCATTGCACCCAGACTGATTTTTAATAATGTGCTAGCAGCATGACCTTTACACCTTGGAACCTTGCCTCTGCTGCTACAGAGCCTGGCGTTTCCCTTCAGGTCACCTCGACAGAGTGGGGTCCATTCTGCTCTGAATCCAAACTGCAGCAAAGTAGCAGATGCAAAGCAGACAGGAATGCAACTTCTTGGCAAGGACATCACCTTGCTTCACCTGCTAGGACTGCACTCAGAAAACAGGTAGGAATTGAAGTCCGACAGCAAAGCAGAAGGTGGTGGTTCTGAGTCAGTGCTGGGTGCGGGGGAAAGCACTCACGCGGGCCTTCATGAGTGCCAGGGCCCTCTCTGAGAACCCGATCAGCCTCATGCAGTGATGGATCCTGCCGGGGCCCAGTCTGCCCTGGGCGATCTCAAAGCCTCGGCCAGGGCCCAGGACCATGTTCTCTTTGGGCACACGCACGTGCTCAAATCGGACTTCACCATGGCCACCTGAAAGACCCAAACGATCACTGTGAGCAATAGCCATAGTCATTTTCCTTGGATGTGTTTATTCCTCACCTCAGTCTGGGTTATCTGCTGGCAATGTCCCTGCCCTTTATTTAGCCTTCTTACTGGGACATGGTTAAAGGGAAAAGGACGGCAGGAAACAGCCTGTTAAACACAGAAAATGAATCACTGATTTATAATGGCAAATGACTATTCTGTGATTCCTTTTATAAAAACATAATAATGCCACCTTAAGCTGAAGCTCCTAGTGGTTTGTGACAATGTAGTGATCCTATGAAAACACTGAAAGTAAAAATGTGAACACTATTAGCAGAGAACCAAACTGGGAGCGGACCAAACCAGGGCTGTGGCCTAGAGGTCAGCTGTTCACACTGGGGCCTGGAAGAGTAGGTTTGGGGTCCACTTCCTGCGTCTGCCCTGTATGGCTTCCTGTGTCACAGACTCCTGATTACTTTCTAAGTTTAGAAGAGGGAAAAAAATCCATAAATGCCTGTCTGAAATCCGCCTGCATGGTTGATATTCATGTATGGAAATGAAATGCAGGAGCATGTGACTCCAAATGTCATCATACCCTCAGACGTGGGATGTGGCAAGTCCTGAACAAGAGCAGGGGCCCCTCAGTGGTGTTTCCTGGGGACCAGACCCACACCCAGGGGTGACCCGCCCCTGGAGGTCTCACCTGGTGCATCTTCCAGTCCATACACCGTCAGAGGCCGGATGATTTTTATCCCTGGGGTATCCATGGGAACCAAGAGCACAGACTGCTGCCGGTGTCTTGGTGCATGTGGGTCTGTTTTTCCCATAAACACACAGAGTTGGCAACGAGGATCCAGGATGCCTGCCAGGAAAGGAGAGAGACAGACCCCATCATCTGACACCAGGGCCATCAAATCTCTACACACGTGGTCCTGGCCCAAGAAAGGCACAGTAAGGAAGCAGACAGAGCTCTTTAAGGCTCCATGTAATCAGATGAGCATCTGCAGACTGCTGACCAGAAATAAGAGCAAATTGGGTTTTGTCCCAGTGAGGAATGAATCCAACATCATAAGAGCAAGTTTTTAAAAGCATCACATAGAGTAGAAAATATAATTTAGAGACAAGAGGATGAAAACCGCTACTTGATCCCTGCCAGCTGGCTCGGCTCCCACAGGTGGTGCACACATAACGGCTCTGGGCCCGGGCCTTGGAATCAGGTGAACCTTTGACTCTGGGTTCTCTACTTGCTGGCTGGGGGCTCATACCCCAGGCAAGGGACCTAAGTCTGAGTGCGGTTTCCTCCTTTGCAAAATGGGGATGCTCATTCTTAATGTCCAGGGAGGTATGGGCTCCGGGAGGTAAGCTCCACGGCTACTTGTAGGGGCCCTGCAAAAGTAACACTGGACAATCCCTAAAAGTCAGGATTGTCATTAGCCCTTAGGATGTAACACACCTGATCGAGGAGCCAGGAAGCCACCAAGGAAGGGGAGCTGCCCAAAGCAGAATGAACAGCAGGAAGTGGAGAGATTCCTGGGGTCACATGTGCAGGGAGGCATCCGTCCATGTGTGGGCACCGGGGGACGTCCCTGCCCTGTGAAGTGCCACCTCTGAGAACAGTGTGCTCCACGGATTACCCTCCTATTCTCCCAGCTGCCTCTGCTGGGGGCGCTAAGTGACAGAATCTCCTTTGTGTCAACTTGAAAAAGCAGAGGCTCCTCCCAGGCATTGAGAGACGCGCCTAACAGCACAGACTCCCTGATGTGCATTTGGAAAGTGCATTTTAGGCCAAATACCTGTGATCCACCATTTGTGACCGTTTATGACATAGAAGCTGTCCTCCTCTCTGATGGAAGCCTCAATGTTGGTGGCATCTGAAGAGGCAACCTGAGTGGGGAGCATATTCCAGTCAGAGACGCCAGCAGACAGCCCGTGTTCCCTGTGGGGCCGACAACAACAGGGCCAGGCAAGTGGGTGGCAGCCCAGGCGACGTACCTGGGGCTCGGTCATAGCAAAACAGGAGCGGGCTTTCCCCTCCAGCAGAGGAATCAGCCAGCGAGCCTTCTGCGCTTCGGTGCCATACCTCACCAGCAGCTCCATGTTGCCCGTGTCAGGCGCAGAGCAGTTACATACCTGAGAAGGAAAAGGAGCGTGACCATGACTGTCATGTCCTCTTCTAAAAAAAACAGAGTCAAGCTCTGTCACCCAGGCTGGAGTATCGTGGCACGATCATGGCTCACTGCAGCCTCGACTTCCTCAGCTCAAGCCATCCTCCCATGCCTCAGCTTCCCAAGCAGCTGAGACTACAGGTATGCACCATCACACCCGATTAATTTTTTATTTTTTTGTACATACAGAGTTCTATGTTGCACACGCTGGTGTCGAACTCCTGGCCTCAAGTGATCCCCCACACTTCGGCCTCCAAAAGTACCGGGATTACAGGTGTGAGCCACCATGCCTGGCCTTCTCACATTAATATTTCAAGCTTCAAATTGGATGGGCATGGTGGCTCACGCCTGTAATCCCAGCACTTTGTGGGGCCAGGGTAGGTGGATCACCTGAGGTCAGGAGTTTGAGACCAGTCTGGCCAACATGGTAAAACCCTGTATCTACTAAAAATACAAAAATTAGCCAGGTGTGGTGGCACATGCCTGTAGTCCCAGCTACTTGGGAAGCTGAGGCAGGAGAACCACTTGAACCCAGGAGGCAGGGGTTGCAGTGCGCCAAGATTTCGCCACTACACTCCAGCCTGGGTGACAGAGCGAGACTCCATCTCAAAAAAAAAAAAAAGTTCAAGTTCATGCCAGTGCTTCTGAATCTGGTTTATCTGTTTAGGATTGAGTTCTTATGAAGATCAGGATGTTCCCACACACTGAGGAAAACTTTAAAGAAGGTACCTCGGGGGCATACAGGGACGTGCCCATGAGCTCACACAGATGTGCATATTCCACATTGGTCAGTCCTGCTCCGTATTTTTTCTCGGGATCAGCCTCTAAGGGTAGGAAAAGGTTCCAAAGTCCTTCAGCTTTGGCTTTCTCCTATCATGGGGAAAATAAGTCAGGAAACCACAGTGGAAGATTTCATTTTATTTTGAACCGTGGAAAACAATGAAAGGGATTGGAGGAAACAAGGCAGACAACCAAACATGCACGTGTGCCCAAAAAAATGATATGAGGAGCTGGGCATGGTGGCTGTGCCTGTGGTCCCAGCTACACAGGAGGCTGAAGTGGGAGGATCACATGAGCCCAGGAGGTTGAGACTGCAGTGAGCTATGACCACACCACTGCATTCCACCCTGGGTGACAAAGCGAGACCCTGTCTCAAAAAAAAAAAAAAAAAAAAAAAAGAGAGAGATGGTGGCTCACGCCTGTAATCCCAGCACTTTGGGAGGCCGAGGCGGGCGGATCACAAAGTCAGGAGTTCAAGACCAGCCTGAACAACATGGTGAAACTCCATCTCCATTAAAAATACAAAAATTAGCTGGGCATGGTGGCACGTGCCTATAATCCCAGTTACTCGGGAGGCTGAGGCAGGAGAATCGCTTGAACCTGGGAGGCGGAAGTTGCACAGAGCAAGACTCCGTCTCAAAAAAAAAGAGAAAAAAAGAAAAGTAGATGATGATTGCATTATGCTCCTGAAGATCTCAAGTAATTTCAAAACTAACACAATCCAAGGTTCACGTGATAAGGAACAGCGGGTGTTTCTGTTTATCAGCTGAAGTGACAGCACTGGGAGACAACACAGAAACTCAGCTCACAGTGGATCTGGCCCTCTAGCTGTGATATTACGGGTTCTCTAGAGAGAGATTTATTAGCTGATACAGCACTGTTTCAAATTTACATAATTCAAATACCCATCAGATAGGCCTAACCTGCCCTGGCTTTCTAAGGCCAAGCATTCCACTGCCTGGGCTGTGCAGTCACACCTGAGCCATCTGCCTGTGACACAGGCACAGCAAGAGCAAGAGATGGAAACTGAGTCATGAAGAGCTGGCTCTTTCTGAGACGATGGAAGCAAAGATCATTCAACTCGGAGCTCCTGTATCTTCACTGCCTGGGATGGTTCAGGTGAGCCCGGTGGGGTCGGGGAGGGTATGCCATGGTATTGGGGTCTTACCACCTCACCATGGCTGCTTTACCTTGAGGTCTTCGATCAGTGGGGAGGGGCTCCACCTGGCTGCTGAGGCCTGGTGACTCTGCAGCTCTGGCTCTGCAGGGTACACACGTTGCTCCATGAAGTGCTTCAGCCGGTGATACAGCTCTCTGACAGGTGGAGAGAGGCTCTCTGGAGAGATAACCAGACCTCCCCTTGAGGTATGAGCTGGGGAAGCTTCTGGAACGGAGCTATAACTCCTGCTGCCTGTGGGGCACCACTGGGACTGGGGCCTGGCCCACGTGTGGTAGGACCTTGTTAACGGATTTGTGAAGGGCATCTCTTTGAAAACCCGGAACCCTTCTTTGACTGCGAAATCCCACGCCAGGTTAGACACAAATTCGGTCAGCTTTCCAGTTTGTTCCGCATATGTGGAGCTTGCTTGCCCTAAGCAGAATCAAAGAAAAACAGTGATTACTCCCACACGACCCATCATAGGGATGTTAACATGTGATGACACTGTCACTTCAGCAGCTATTGCCATTTGCTGAGCACTTGCTAAGTACCAAACACTGTGCTAAGAGCCACTATAGCTCACTGAATCCCCAAAGCAATACAACTGCTTTCACCTGCACTTTGCACGCAAGAAAACTGAGTCTTAGAGAAGGAGGTGACTTGGACGAGCTGGAAGTTAGGGGGCTGGGGGCCAGAGTCCAACTTAGGTCTGCCTGCTCCCTGCTCTTGATCTCTGCTTTCCTAAAAGACTACATTTAATCAGTAACACCCCAGATCACCTCTGCCGTTGCCAGTGGGCTATAAGAAGTCCTGCATCCTAGACCACCCTTGCTACAAAATTGATAACAGCAATGCCACAACTGACTAAAGGAAGAGCCAACTTCTAGACACCACTGTCTCTGGAGGGAATCAACACCAGCATCACTCAGCTCACTATTTGGCTCTCACAGCGTCTCTTTCTTCTTGTAAAATGTGCATCAAGACTTTTTTTACAAACATATTTTTCCCCATTAAAAAAAATTAAGGTGGCCAGGTGCGGTGGCTCACACCTGTAATCTCAGCACTTTGGGAGGCTGAGGTGGGCGGATCACTTGAGGTCGGGAGTTCAAGACCAGGCTGGCCAACATGGAGAAACCCCCATCTCTACTAAAAATACAAAAATTAGCCAGGCATGGTGGTGTGTGCCTGTAATCTCAGCTACTCAGGAGGCTAAGGCATGAGAATCGCTTGAACCTGGGAGGCAGAGGTTGCAGTGAGCCGAGATCGTGCCATTGCACTCCAGCCTGGGAGAGAGTGAGGCACCCATCTCAAAAAAATAAATAAATAAAAATAAAAAAATTGAGGAGTGGTGTACATACACCTCCTTAATGTAGAACTCTGCAAGTCTTAACAAATCCATAGTTGGGTAACTACCATTGCCATCAAGATACAGAATACTTCGGCCAGGCGCAATGGCTCACACCTGTAATCTCAGCACTTTGGAGGCTGAGGCGGGTGGATCACCGGAGGTCAGGAGTTTGAGACCAGCCTGGTCAACATGGTGAAACCTGTCTCTACTAAAAATACAAAAATTAGCCAGGCATGGTGGCACATGCCTGTAGTCCCAGCTACTTGGGAGCCTGAGGTAGGAGAATCACTTGAACCCGAGAGGCGGAGGTTGCCTGGGCAACAGAGCGAGACTCCATTTCAAAAAAAAAAAAAAAAACAGAATATTTCCATCATCTGGAAATTTCCCCAGTGTACTTTTGTACTCAACCCCTGCCCCCCTGATCCCCAGCACCCACTGATCTCTGTTTCTGTAGTCTGTCTCTTCCAGGATGTCCCATAAATACATATGTCACTCAGCATGTGGCCTTTTCAGTATGGCCTCCATCACTCTGAGCCCTGCATCTGAGACACATCCAGATTGCTATGTGTACAATGTCTCCTCACAGTGAACTTTTTCACAGCCAGCTCTCCTGGATTACTTCTAGCACTTCCATGTCCCCAAGAGACTGTACCCAATAAATGGATAAATTGATAGTTCTAAAGAGACAGCCATTTTCTTTTTTTAAATGATTTCATTTTAGGCTGGGTGCTTTGGCTCACGCCTGTAACCCCAGCACTTTGGGAGGCTGAGGTGGGTGGATTACTGGAGGTCAGTTCGAGACCAGCCTGGGCAACATGGTGAAACCCTGTCTCTACTAAAAGTACAAAATTTAGCCAGGTGTGGTGATGCACGCCTGTAATCTTAGCTACCGGGGAGGCTGAGGCAGGAGAATCGCTTGAACCCAGGAGGTGGAGGTTGCCGTGGGCCGAGATCATGCCATTGCACTCCAGCCTGGGTGACAAGAGCAAAATTCCGTCTCAAAAAAATAAATATTTTATTTATTTTTAAATAAGAGATGGGGCCTTACTACGTTGCCCAAACTGGTCTCGAACTTCTGGCCTCAAACAATCCTCCTGTCTCAGTCTACCAAACTGCTGGGATTACAGGCATGAGCCACCATGCCCAGCTGAGACAGCCATTTTCATGCAGCTTTGGTGTTAAAGATAGTTTAAACTATTCCTTACAGAGTTAGGAACAAACTCAGAGCAAATTCTTTGCTACCCTGCAGAGAGTTAGCCTACTGGACCTCAATAGGTCTCTACTGAGGACCTTCTGGGTGCTAGGTATGAACCTAACCCAGGGAAGTCAGTCAGAAACCAGATAGCCTCTTCCTTGCAGACACACAGTGGGGGCTTATTCCTTATTCCTCGGACTGCACACAGCACATTGAAGGGAAAGATACTCCCTTATGTTCCTTATTATTCATAAGGATTTTCTTCTTCTAACAGAGTAAGAGGTGTATTCTTAATTTTCTTCTATTTGGTTGGCTCCCACTCTGAGACTGCTACTTTGTCCCTGAAAAAAGTCACTTGTATAAGCTTGGATTGATTTAGATCTATTGCTTCTGGTATATTTTCCAAAATGTAGTTCCAGCAGAAGAGACCACATCACTGGTGTCCACTTAACTTGCAGTCATAAGCACTTTATAGAATTTCAGTGGCCATCTACCAGAAATCTAATTTCTGCACCCACTTATTAAGGAAGGAGAAGGACACATGGGCTGGGCAGGTA
The DNA here is from genome assembly GCF_000001405.40 of Homo sapiens. Classification (NCBI taxonomy): domain Eukaryota; kingdom Metazoa; phylum Chordata; class Mammalia; order Primates; family Hominidae; genus Homo; species Homo sapiens. The sequence continues at coordinate 111,741,974 of NC_000012.12, read as the reverse complement.
CATACTGTTAATCTTCTGCTCACTGGGCTCTGGTCTCTCTCATCCCCTTCCCAATCTAATGCTGATTTGAAGTCTTTTGTAAATGACACCATAGAGAGAATGTCTTGGAAACAGATACCCCTTCTCTAAGCTCCAGTTTTCCTGGCCAGTACCAAATATCTCAGCTGTTCAAACAAAAATGATTTTAAAGCTAATTGTAGAAGACAAATGTACAGAAGTAATATTTATGTTTGTATAGTTGGTTTTTTCCCCATTCATCATACGTTTTTATATTATTCTTTCAAAAAATGGATTTTGTTGTTTTTACATGAGAAAACTAAGCCATTTCCTCAGTGTGTCTGGCTGGCTTCCCAGAGGGAGGGAAAGGAGTGCACAGTAAGATAAGAGGAATAAAGGCCTGAACAAACAGACATTTTTCTGTCTGGTGGCAAACAGGTGGGGTGTTTTAGCTCTGGGCCGAGAGAAACCAGAAGCCACAACGATGGCTCACAGGATCTTAAAAACATGTCAAAGGGCTTCCTGAGAGACAGGCTGAGGACACTCAGTGTGGAGACTCTAAAATGGGCAGTCTATTAAGCTTTTCCCAGGTCACTGGAGCAGAGCAGGGAGAAAACTTGGCAGCCGGCTAGGAAATATCAGAGGTGACCAGGACTATTCATCACCATAAGGACTTAGCAGCCATTCTGTTTAAGTAAATATTTCTGGTTAGTGTTTATTGGAAAACTATAAAAAAAATGGGAAATAGTGGCTTACAGCTGATACTGTATTTTCCTAAAAGAGGGAAAATATTGTTTCCAGAAATTCCTGCTTCCAGCATCCCCTGCTTATCAGACCAGGTACAGTTAAACTAGAAATTCTCTGGGTACTGGTTTTTCTCCGGACAGTTTTTCTCATGACTGTGTATCTCCAGGACCACCTAGCACAGTGCTGGCTTTTAGTAGAGGCTCATATACTTGGGAATGAATGATCAATTCCCCTACTGCAACTGCTTCTCTCAGAAGACTCTGGCAACCTGGCTGAGAACACAGGCTGCCAGCAAGCTTGGGGTGTCACTGACTGCAAAGCTAAACACTCCATCAGCACTAGCAAATCCCATGATGAATTCCTTTCTCCTTCTTTCTCCTTGCCTTTTGTTTTTAAGTTTTGCTTTTGGAAAATTTCTTTTTCTTTTCTTTTTTTTTTTTTTTTTTTTGAGATGGAGTCTCGCTCTGTCACCAGGCTGGAGTGAACAGTGAAGCAATCTCGGCTCACTGCAACCTCTGACTCCCTGGTTCAAGCTATTCATCTGCCTCAGCCTCCCTAGTTAGCTGGGATTACAGACACCTAGTAGCTGGGATTACAGGCACACACCACCAAGCCCAGCTAATTTTTGTATTTTTAGTAGAGACGGGGTTTCATCATGTTGGCCAGGATGGTCTTGATCTCCTGACCTCGTGATCCCCCCGCCTCGGCCTCTCAAAGTGCTGGGATTACAGGCATGAGCCACCGCACCTGGCCTTTTTTTTTTTTTTTTTGAGATGGAGTCTTGCTCTGTCACCCAGGCTGGAGTGTAGTGGCACGATCTCTGCTCACTGCAACCTCTGCCTCCCGGGTTCAAGTGATTCTCCTGCCTCAGCCTCCCATGTAGCTGGGATTATAGGCGGCATCACCACACCCAGGCAATTTTTGTATTTTTAGTGGAGACGGGGTTTCACCATGTTGGCCAGGGGTCTCAAACTCCCGACCTCAGGTGATCCACCTACTTCGGCCTCCCAGTGTGCTAGGATTACCGGCGTGAGCCATCATGACTGGCCTCCTTTTGGAAAATTTCAAAGACACACAGGAGTAGAGAGGAGAGAATAACAAGCCTACGGGTTCTACTGCTCGCCTTCCGCAATGATCGATGCCAGCCCAGTCTGGTTTCATTCCCTGCCATCCCCACTCCCACTGTCCTGGATTTTTTGGAGTAAATCCCAAATATCTCATCTAGGATTCTTTCAAAACTCTAAAAACAAATGTTTTTTAAAAAACCCACAATACTATTATTACCCTTAAAAAATCGTTAACTGTTAACTTCTTCATATCATCGACTATCCACTCAGAATTCAAGTTTCAGTGACTATCATCAAAATTTTTTCCAAATAATTTGTTCAAGAAAGGATCCAAATAAGGTCCCAACACTGTAACTGGCTAACGTATCTTTTAAGTCTCTCCCCGCTCCCCCCACCTTTTTTTTTTCTGAGACAGTCTCACTTTGTTGCCCAGGCTAGACTGCGGTGATGCAATCATGGCTCGCCGCAACCTCCGCCTCCTGGGTTCAAGCAATTCTCCTATCTCAGCCTCCCGAGTAGCTGGGATTACAGGTGCCCGCCACCAGGCCTGGCTAATTTTTATATTTTTTAGTAGAGACAGGGTTTCCCCATGTTGGCCAGGCTGGTCTCAAACTCCTGACCTCAGGTGATCCACCCACCTCGGTTTCCCACAGTGCTGGGATTACAGGCGTGAGCCACCACGCCCAGCCTGATGTTTCTTTTAAGTCTCTCTCAATCTACAGGTTCCTTTTTCACCCTTTTCCTCCCCTTGAAATGTAAGTGTTTGAAGAAACTGAGTTGTTTGCCCTGTGATGTTTTCCAGAATCTGGATTTTGTGAGTGCTGTGCCCAGGGTGCTGCTGAACATGTCCCTCTGAACCCTGTGTTTCCCATGAGTTGGCAGCTAGCACTGGAGACCTGGGCAGAGTCAGTGTAACTTTTGAGGGAAGCATCAGGAGGTATATAATGTCTGGCTGTCTGTCTCTCAGTGGTGTTGGCTTTCATTGAAGCTTATTGCCCACATCCATTAATGCATTAGGAGTTGCAAATTGGTGATATGCAAATTCTATATTATTCTGTCCAGGATACTTCTCTAGAGAGAAACATTCCCTCATTGATTATTTGGATAGCCTGCAGTATCATTTGTACAGGAAAGACAGGACAAATGCTTGATTCCCCACCCCCCCACCCCATTTTCCAATTTTCAGAATAATAAGTTGCTTTCCTGGCAACCTCTGAGGTCATCAATGAGACTTTGTCTCTTTGTTTTTGTATCACTACTCATGGACTTATTTATTTAATTTTTATTTTTGGGGGGACAGTGTCTTGCTCAGTCACCCAGGCTGCAGTGCACAGGCGCGATCTCAGCTCACTGCAACCTCTGCCCCCTGGGTTCAAGTGATTCTCTCTCCTGCCTCAGTCCCCTGAGTAGCTGGGATTTTAGGCGCCCGCCATCACACCTGGCTAATTTTTGTATTTTTAGTAGAGATGTGGTTTCACCATGTTGGCCAGGCTGGTCTTGAATCCCTAACCTCAAGTGATCTGCTCACCTTGGCCTCCCAAAGTGCTGGGATTACAGGCCTGAGCCACCATGCCCGGCTACTACTCATGGATTTAAACATACCTGATGTGTTTCATCCATTTCAGCTATCATCCTTGGTGATGCCCAAAGTTTCCTATTGTTAGCAAGTGGGAGCCTGTTCAGGTTGGCTCCCAAGTCTTTTTTTTTTTTTTTTTTTGAGACAGAGTCTCATTCTTGTCGCCCAGGCTGGAGTGTAGTGGCACGATCTCGGCTCACTGCAACCTCCCCGTCCCAGGTTCAAGTGAGTCTCCTGCCTCAGTCTCCCAAGTAGCTGGGATTACAGGCACCCGCCACCATGCCTGGCTAATTTTTGTATTTTTAGTAGAGACACAGTTTCACCATGTTGGGTAGGCTGGATAGACAAGATGAACCTGGAACATTTTGTCATACTAGCGAGCAAGGAAGTTGTCAAAGACCACAGGGGTTTTACCTAAAGACTTGGGGACTGGCCGGGCTCAGTGGCTCATGCCTGTAATCCCAGCACTTTGGGAGGCCGAGGTGGATGGATCATCTGAGGTCAGGAGTTCGAAACCAGCCTGGCCAACATGGCAAAACCCCATCTCTACTAAAAACAAACAAAAAAATGACGCGGGTATGGTGGTATGTGCCTATAATCCCAGCTTCTTGGGAGGCTGAGGCATGAGAATTGCTTGAGCTGGTGAGGTGGAGGTTGCAGTGAACCAAGATCGCACCACTGCACTCCAGCCTGGGCGACAGAGTGAGAAACTGTCTCAACACACACACACACACACACACACACACCAAGAAATTTGCCTCATATAGTTGTTAAATATGCAAATGGTCACACACATATTTCACAGAAATTCTTAAGCTTACAAAATTTTAAAATCAAAGTACCGAAAAATACACATAGGATGATCACATTTGTGTAAAAGTAGGAGGAGAGAGAGAAGACAGATAAACAGAAAAACTGGAGGGCCCAGGAAACTCTTAACAGTAACATTTATCTTTGAGGAATGGTGTTGAAAAGGGTGAGATACAATTTTACATAATTCTATATGACCAAATTTTGATCATGTGCATGAATGCTTTAACTGGAAAAATTTCTTTGTGCATTACTTTAATAATTAAAAAACAAGTTTAAATATTGTAAAGAGGCTGGGCATGGTGGCTCACACCTGTAATCCCAGCACTTTGGGAGGCCAAGGCAGACGGATCACTTGAGGCCCGGAGTTCGAGACCAGCTTGGCCAACATGGTGAAACTTCATCTCTACTAAAAATACAAAAAAAAATTAGCCAGGCGTGGTGGCGCAGGCCTGTAGTCCCAGCTACCCTGGAGGCTGAGGCAGGAGAATCGCTTGAACCCAGAAGGTAGAGATTACAGTGAGCCAGGATCAAACCACTGGACTCCAGCCAGGGTGACAAAGCAAGACCCTGTCTCAAAAACAAATAATAAATAAATAAATATTGTAAAGAAAATATTTATGGACAAATGGTTAGATTAACTGAACCTCAGAGAATCCTGGCCAAATCGGTCTCTCCAAAGCCTCTGTGGCCCTGAGAGGGTTTCCAGGTGGAGGCACGGTCCTTGCTGTGACTCACCCCGCAGTGGCTCTTCAGGGCAGCCATCCCATTACCTGTGAGTGATCGCTTGTAGACTCCCTGTAGGATTGCAGCCACACGGAAAAAGGAAAAAGCCATATAGAAGTTCCAGTTCTCAGTGGGAGGGAGCCCCATTTGGAGACAGTACATCCTGAAATACTCCTCTGCAGCAGGGATTCCCAGCTGTGTCAAGTCACAGTCATTAATACCTGCGAGAAAGACAGAGCCATTCATGGGTAGTCACTGACGTGACACGCCCCTGTGGCTGGCAAATATTTAAATTCTGAAAATCGCCATGTCCCTTGCAAATTAGTTTCACGACCAGTTCCATGGGTTAGCTTATTCCTGCATTGGCTCTTGCTCCCTTAGATGGCTGGGGATCCAGGCATGAAGTCATTATTCACAAATTGGCTCTTACAGGTTTCAGACTCAACTGGCAGTAAAGGAAGGAATGGGAGCTTCCAATTCCATCTGGCCACAGTTAAGGGTGGATGCATATTATCTTCAACCAGTCATTTGATCAAAAATGATATGGAAAGAGCGATCTCAGGTCGAGCACAGTGGCTCATGCCTGTAATCCCAGCACTTTGGGAGGCCGAGTTAGGTGGATCACCTGAGGTCAGGAGTTCAAGACCGGCCTGACCAATATGGTGAAACCCTGTCTCTACTAAAAATACAAAAATTAGCCAGGCATGGTGGCGTGCACCTGTAATCCCAGCTACCTGGGAGGGAGGCTGAGACAGGAGAATTGCATGAATCCAGGAGGCAGAGGTTGCAGTGAGCTGAGATCACGCCACTGCACTCCAGCCTGGGTGACAGAGCAAGACTCCATCTCAAAAAAAAAAAAAAAAAAACAATTGGCTGGGTGCAGTGGCTCATGCCTCTAATCCCAGCACTTTAGGAGGCCGAGGAGGGCAGATCATTTGAGGTCAGGAGGTCGACACCAGCCTGGCCAACATGGTGAAGACCCTGTCTCTACTGAAAATACAAAAATTAGCCAGACATTGTGGCACACGCCTGTAATCCCAGCTACTCAGGAGGCCGAGGCCGGAGAATCGCTTGAACCCGGGAGGCAGAGGTTGCAGTGAGCCGAGATTGCGCCACTGTGGTCCAGCCTGGGCGACAGAGTGAGACTCCATCTCAAAAATAAATAAAACGAGTGACAGAGGGAGACTCCATCTCAAAAATAAATAAACAAATAAACAAATAAATAAATAAATATAAAAATAAAAAGATCTCACCAAATTATGAAAATGATAATTATAGCAAATAAAATAATTTCACGGGCCAGGCGCAGTGGCTCACGCCTGTAATCCTAGCACTTTGGGAGGCCAAGGCGGGCGGATCATGAGGTCAGGAGATCGAGACCATCCTGGCTAACACGGTGAAACCCCATGTCTACTACAAAAACAAAAATTTAGCCGGGCGTGGTGGTGGGTGCCTGTAGTCCCAGCTACTTAGGAGGCTGAGGCAGGAGAATGGTGTGAACCTGGGAGGTGGAGCTTGCAGTGAGCTGAGATCGCGCCACTGCACTCTAGCCTGGGCAACAGAGCGAGACTCCGTCTCAAAAAAAAAAAAAATTCACTTATTTCCTCCAGTTGTGACATTTTCATGATTTAGAAGCATGTAATATATTCCATTCCTAGGTATTAATCTTAGGAGTATACCTTATATATAGGCAAATATATTACTACAAGGATGTTCACTGCCTTTTTTTCATGGAAGTAGGGGAAGTAATACTAAAAAATTGGAAACAAATTAAATATCTAAATAGGAATTAACCCAAATGTCTTCCCTTAATTCTTTTTTTTTTTTTGAGATGGAGTCTTGCTCTGTTGCCTAGGCTCGAGTGCAGTGGCGCCATCTCAGCTCATTGCAAGCTCCGCCTCCCGGGTTCACACCATTCTCCTGCCTCAGCCTCCTGAGTAGCTGGGACTACAGGTGCCCACCACCACGCCCAGCTAATTTTTTTGTATTTTTAGTAGAGACGGGGTTTCACCATGTTAGCCAGGATGGTCTCGATCTCCTGACCTCGTGATCCACCCGTCTCGGCCTCCCAAAGTGCTGGGATTACAGGCGTGGGCCACCGCGCCCGGCCGTCTTCCCTTAATTCTATACAATAAAATTATATGCTCTCATTAAAAATTATGCTATAGAAGAAATACTTAATGTCATGAAAACATGTCTACAGTATACAATGAAGTGAAAAAAAGCATGCCATTAGATCATGTTACATTTTTGTTTTGTTTTAGGAAATGTACATATACACACAGAAGAAAAGATGACATGGATAGATACTGAAATGTCAGCAAATGGTTATCTCTGGGACTACTAATGATTTTAACTGTTTTGTTGTTGTTGCTATCTGTTGGCTCTAGTATTTTCACAATAAATGTGGTTTGTTTTTGTTTTTTTTGAGATGGAGTCTCGCCCTGTTGCCCAGGCTGGAGTGCAATGGCATGATCTCAGCTGACTGCAACCTCTGCCTCCCAGGTTCAAACAATTCTCCTGCCTCAGCCTCCCGAGTAGCTGGGGTTACAGGCACACGCCACCACGTCCAGCTAATTTTGTATTTTTAGTAGAGACAGGGTTCACCATGTTGGCCAGGCTGGTCTGGAACTCCTGACCTTGTGATCCACCCGCCTTGGCCTCCCAACGTGCTGGGATTACAGGCATGAGACACCACACCCAGCCACAATGAATGTGTTTTTAATTTAAAACCCTAAATAGAAGTTAGCTGTGTAAAAGCATAAGCGGTACCTATACAGGCATACTTTTCACTTAAAACACATCCTATATCCACTTTCCCGTAAATGTGACAGGACTGCATTCTAGTTATGTTTCCCACCAGAACCACCAGGACCTCACTTTCACTTCCCCCGCCCAATCACGGACTACTTCAGCTGAGTTTGCTCCCAAATGCTTGGAGAACTGGCTTGCTCCCCCACTATCCTCCAGCAGCAGTTCCTACCTCTCAGCACGGGAAAACTGGATGGCAGGTAATGAGCCAGGCAGCTGTAGGCCACATCAGCAAGGGGGTCGCCCAAGGTAGAAAGTTCCCAGTCAAGGACAGCAAGCACCTCTGGCTCTTCTGGATGAAACACCAGGTTGTCGAGCCTGAAAAGTCGCAGGAGGAATAGAGACAGCACTAAGAAAACTGCCGGCTAGGGTGGATTCTGCGTGGTCTGTTTGCCCTTTAGGCTTGGCTCCCCACCCTCCCATCCCCTCTGTGCCCGGGTGCCTGAGCTCCCTGGGCTGTGTGCTCCAAAGGCTCCCTTGCCCTCTGGCTTCCAGCTGGACTCAGCCAATCAAAAGCAGGAGATGGGAAAGGGCCTGGTTATTTATTTCCCCAGCTCCTTCTCTGCAGCCTTCCCCAGAGAGCTAGCCTCTCTGGGTTCCGGGAATTACTCCCTCCCTGTGATGGTTTTAAAACAGATCTGTAAATCCTTTGACACTCCTCCCACAAAAGGTAGAGTCTAATGCTTGGCCCAGTGAAGCATCTTGCTTCTAACAGATATAAGACACGTGGAAGTGATGCTGAGGGATTCCTGAAACTAGACTAGGTCAGAAAACGTGATACAGCTTCTGCCCAGCCCTCTGTCTCTTGAAACACACTATTTTGGAGCCCTGAGCCCCCAGGTAAGAAGTCCAGGGCTGAGAGCAATGGTTCATGCCTGTAATCCCCACATTTTCGGAGGACTGCTTAAGCTCAGGAGTTCAAGACCAGCCCGGGCAACATAACAAGATCCTATCTCTACAAAAAAAAATTTAAAAATTAGCTGAGCGTGGTAGTGCACGCCTGTAGTCCCAGCTACTCAGGAGGCTAAGGTGGGAGCATCACTGAGCCCAGGAGTTGGTGGCTGCAGTGAGTTATGTTCCAGCCTATGAATTGCCACTACACTCCAGCCTGGGTGACAGTGCAAGATCCTGTCTCAAAAAAAAAAAGTCCAGTTACCCAGAAGTTGCCATGCTGGAGAGACCATGTGGGAACCACAAAGAGACAGAAAGAGAGGCCCAAGGAGCCCGGCTGTTAATATCTTCTCTGCCCAGGGCCAGCATGCTAGCAAGTCTTCAGAAGATCCAGCCCCACCCGACAGCCGCCCTACTTTGAAATAAGCTGTCCTGTCCCCAGACTGCAAAGATTCATAAGCAAAATGACTGCTGTCGTTGTTGACAGCCACTCAGTTCTGACAAAGTTTGTTGTAGAGTAGCAATAACCACAGCACATGCTTGCCCTGTCAGACTGACCCCTCACTGTTACTGGCCCCGGGACTCCACGCTGTTCTTCAGCGGTTCCTCTAAACCACGCTATATTGAACTAAATAACCCTATATTGAACTCTCCCCAGATAGCCTCTTTCATGCTTTCTGTTTCCTGCCAGGGCTGTCTGTAATGCATGCTTTATTTAAAAGAAAAAGTAAACATCAAGCATGCAGAAAAATACAGAGAATGACATAATGACAGAACTCATGTGTCCACCTTCCAGATTTAACAGATATTGTACGTGCTTTTTTGTTACATTTGCTTCAGATTTTTTAAAAATGAGATTTACTGCTACCCTGAAGTTGGTATATATCAGTCTCAGACATTTCTATATTTCTCTTATCTATACCTGTACCTATATACCACATATAGTGTTCTTTCAATTATTTTTAAATTTTCATAAATGATATATTACCCTTTTGAAACTTTTTTCTACTTCGATTATCTTTTTTGAGACTTATGACTTATGTACAGCAAATTGGTTTATTTTACTCACTAAATAGAATTCCAACATATGGCCAAACTACACTTTATTTATCATGTATTATAATTACAAGCATGACCAAAACAAACATCTTCACCTGAGTCTCTTGGTGCAAAGCTGCAGCAGATGCTTCTTTACAAGAAACGATGGGTTGTAGCATATTCCCATCTTCCATGTTACTGCCCATTACTTTTCTTTTTTTGTTGTTTTTTGAGATGGAGTCTCACTCTGTCACCCAGGCTGGAGTGCAGTGGTGCGGTCTTGGCTCACTGCAACCTCTGCCTCCCGGGTTCAAGTGATTCTCCTGCCTCACCCTCCCGAGTAGCTGGGATTACAGGGGCACCACCACACTCAGGTAATTTTTATATTTTTAATAGACATGGGATTTTGGCATGTTGGCCAGGCTGGTCTCGAACTCCTGACCTCAAGTGATCTGCCCGCTTTCGCCTCCCAAAGTGCTGGGATTACACGCTTGAGTCACCGTGCCTGGCCACTGCCTACTACTTTTCAAAGTAGCTGCAGCAGTTTATGCTCCCACCACCGCTGATTCACTCCACTAGCAAGAAATGTTCTTCTATCCATCAAAAGACAGAACTATCTCTGACTGTGTTGATCAATAAGCAGCAGCACGCTCTCTAAAATCAGAGGATGCCTTTCCTGGAGGCAACATCCTAAATGATCATCATACTTCACTATAGCTAGGGGAGGGGGTGCTCAGACTGCACTGGATATCTCCTGCCTGCTGTATACTTGATCACATTCGTGGATTGTTGAGGTGCCAAGAGAAGCAAAGACAAGGTCCACGGAGCAGCTGTTGTGGGCTGGTGACACAAAGGCCACCTGAGGTCTTCCCCGCCAAAGGAAATACATGGCAATGGCTGGCAAGGAAAGTGTTGTCAGGCAAGTGCTCTAGAATCCCAAGTGGAGAAAGAAGATGGAGGAGGGGGTCAAATGCAGCCCAACTGCATGCCACGTTCAAGGCAGTGTGGGGGAAGCACTTGGCCCCATCAGTCTCTGATGCAGAAGCAGGTTCCTCAAGCTCCCGTGATGACCACATGACAAAGAAAGCTCAGCTGTCCACTCTCAGACCCAGGGGGATCCCCAAAGGTGGCTGGCTAACGGAAGAAGCCGGGAGCGAGGGACACCGGTCAAGCCAATGAAGAGAGGCCAATCAAATTTGGAAGGCAAAGAAATGTCTTTAAGGCTGGGCATGGTGGCTCATGCCTATAATCCCAGCACTCTGGGAGGCCAAAGTGGGCAGATCACTTGAGGGCAGGAGTTTGAGACCAGCCTGATCAATATGATGAAACCCCATCTCACATTTTTGTATTACTAAAAATGTATTGTATTTTTGGATTACCAAAAATACAAAAGTTAGCCACACATGGTGGTGCACACCTGTAATCCCAGCTGCTCGGGAGGCTGGGGCGGGAGAATTGCTTGAACCCAGGAGGTGGGGTAGGCAGTGAGCTGAGATCACGCCACTGCACTCCAGCCTGGGCGACTGAGTGAGACGATGTCTAAAAAAAAAAAAAAAAGAAACGGAAATGTCTTTAAAATTAGCCTTCACTGTCTAGTCTTGTTTAATAAAAGGCCTGAGTCCCCAGATGGGCAAGAAGACAAGCCAAATAAGGCATGCTTGCATCAAAAGCAGGTCTCCAGGTGCTGCGAAGCAGAAAACACTATAAACACTACCCTATAAAAGTACCTAACGGGCAGTTTTCACAGCAAGAGATGATAAGATAAAGCTAGACACTGCCGCCAGACGCCAGGCATACTGAAGTTCCCATTTTAGCCGTGCTACAGACTCATCACATACCCCCAGAGACCCTGTCACTCTCTTTCAATCCTTTCATTACACCCAGTGAGAATGTCCATCCCCAGGCCTCTTGGGAGGTGAGTGGCACCCTCACTCTGCCTTACTTTCAGATGAGATCGGGCCTGTTCAGGGTGGTATGGCCATAGACTCTGCCTTACTTTCAAACAGTGGGTCTCAACAGAGGAATGCTGCCCTCCCTGGGAACACTGGACCAGGTCTGCGAAGATTTTTGGTTGTCACACTCTGTGGGGAGGGGTGCTACTGTCATCGAGTGGGTTGAGGCCAGGGATGATGCCTGACATCCTGCAATGCACAGTAGCTCCCACCACAAAAACTTATCCAATTCAACATGTCACAGTGCCAGAGCTGAGAAACCCTGCCTGAAAAGGCCACACACAGACAGGTGCTTTGTAATAGGAATAATTCCCAGCTGTAAATTGCACCAAGACCAATTGCTCAATTCCCCCTTGGAGCATCCTTGCTGTCATTTTTCAGCTCTCCCTGCCACCACATCTACCTGAAGTCCCCGTGCACCACTGTGGTCCTCTGCTGACGGGGAAGATGGAGGGGCAGCCATTCGATCAGCCTCTCCATGGCTGGGATGGTGCTAGTTTCGGAAGCTCGATACTGCTTAACCCAGGTTCGTACCTGGCGTGGAATATAGTCCCCTGCGGGAAATAGGATTAGAACTTGGTGTGCAATTTCAGCAACCTCTGAAAGTAGCGGAAAAAAAAACCAGTGCAGTGAAACCCTTTGTCATGCTCTGCACTGGGTGGTGCAGTGTCTTTGAACACGTTCCTATGACTGGAGAATTTCCCACATGATGCTCCTGCTGCCCCAAGGTGGAAGTCACCAGCTCTTTGGCTGGATTAGTGTGGTCTGGGTGCTGTTCCTAGCTATATGGTCTCCAAGTATGATCTCTGGTCCTCTTAAAGACCTTGTGGCCGGCCATGGTGGCTCACACCTGTAATCCCAGCACTTTGGGAGGCCAACGCAGGCAGGAGGTCAGGAGTTCGAGACTGGCCTGTCCAACATGGCGAAAGCGCATCTCTACTGAAAAATACAAAAATTAGCCAGGTGTGGTGGTGGGTGCCTGTCATCCCAGCTACTTGGGAGGCTGAGGCAGGAAAATCGCTTGAACCCAGGAGGCGGAGGTTGAAGTGAGCCGAGATTGCGCCATTGCACTCCAGCCTGGGTGACAAGAGCAAAACTCCATCTCAAAAAAAAAGATCTTCTGTGCTTCCTAATAGCCTTTCATAAATCACTTTTTGGCTAAACAACAGTGGTTAGCTGAGCACATGAACCCTGGAGCCAGACTGCCAGGCTATGAAACCCAGCTCTGTTGTTCTCTAGCTCTGTGATCTCAGGCAGGTTACTTAACATCTCTATGCTTTAGTTTCCTCATCTTGAGATGGTCCTCATAGAGCTGTTGGGAGAATAAAATATGTAAAGCCCTTAGAACTATTCTTGGCATGTGGTAAGAACTACATGAGGGCTGGCTGCAGAGGCTCATGCCTGTAATCCCAACACTTTGGGAGGCCAAATCACTTGAGCGCAGGAGTTTGGGTAGAGCCTGGGCAATGTGGCAAAAACCTGTCTCTGCTAAAAATACAAAAATTAGCTGGGCATGGTGGTGCGTACCTGTAGTCCCAGCTACTCAAGAGGGAGAGGCAGGAGGATTGCTTGAGCCCAAGAGGTTGAGGCTGCAGTGAGCCGAGATCACACCACTACACTCCAGTGTGGGCGACAGAGAGAGACCCTGTCTCAAAAAACAAACAAACAAAAAAACTATCCCTGTTGAAACTGGACACGGTGGCACATGCCCAGAGTCCCAACTACTTGGGAGGCTGAGACAGGAGGATGGCTTGAGCCCAGAAGTTTGAGACCAGCCTGGGCAACACAGTGAGACCCCCATCTCAAAAAATACATATATTCCTGTTGAAAAGAATATTTAGGGGAAAGGGTAAAAAACGGAGAAAAATACATTTTAAATACCTATGGTCAGTATCAGAAAAAAAATTTAAATGGTCTAGTGAGATAAAAGTTGCAGGGAATTGGATAGCAGAATATTTAAGGGAAAAAAAGAAAAAATGAAAAAAAAAAGTTGCAGGGAAGAAAGACTGTGTAGTTCATAAAGGGATTTATTGAAGGCCCAAATGCCTAAGTCAGCAACACCTCCATTAAAACTAAACTGGATTTCCAAGGAAGAAGCTAAGTCTGCCTTACGCTTGGTGTGCTAATACTCAAAACGACCCAAAACGATTCAGATCCTAAAAGCAGAAGCACTAGTGATGAAACAACCAGCATGGGAGACGTGGCCTCCTGCTCACCTTGCTTCCCATAGTCTTCAAGTCCCACAGCCTGCAGATCCACACTGTGAATTTTGCACAGGACTGTGTTCATGGCAGTGTATATGGCTCGTCTGTGGCTGGGCTCCAAGCCTGGCAGGGAAGGGTCTTTGTAGATGAGACCTGGGCAGTACTCCATCACATAGAAGGGGGTGCCAATGACACTGGGAGGAACACAGAAGGGGTTTCAGGGATCAGAGTCATAATGTGGCAGGCTGTTAGTCATGACCCTATTCTTTGTCACTTTCCCTGGGTATACAGGTTGAGAGCTGGTGAAGAGTTCAGACCCAGAGCACTGGATACTTCCTTTTTCCTTTCACATAAGCACAGTGCATTAGAAGTATCCTCTCTTGCAATGGATCGATCCACATACATGCACACACACATATACATACACACGTGCACACACACACATGCACACCCATCTATGCTTCTTGGACAGCATGCTTTTCTCTTCTCCCTGGTTCATTTGTGTAAGCCACAGGAATGGATTCAAAGTGTAATAATGTAGCAAGCAGCAAGGCTCAGAGAAGGACCTCTGGAGTCACACCGAACCAGGTTTTTATTTTTTGTTTATTTATTTATTTATTTTTTAATTTTTTGAGACGGAGTCTCGCTCTGTCACCCAGGCTGGAGTGCAGTGGCGCGATCTCGGCTCACTGCAAGCTCCGCCTCCCAGGTTCATACCATTCTCCTGCCTCAGCCTCCTGAGTAGCTGGGACTACAGGCACCCGCCACCACGCCCGGCTAATTTTTTGTATTTTGAGTAGAGACAGGATTTCACCGTGTTAGCCAGGATGGTCTTGATCTCCTGACCTCGTGATCCACCCGCCTTGGCCTCCCAAAGTGGTGGGATTATAGGCGTGAGCCACTGCTCCCGGCCTATTTATTTATTTTTTTGAGATGGAGTCTTGCTCTGTCGCCCAGGCTGGAGTGCAGTGGCGCGATCTTGGCTTACTGCAACCTCCTTCTCCTGGGTTCAAGCGATTATCCTGCCTCAGCCTCCCAAATAGTTGGGACTCCAGGTGCATGCCACCACGCCTGACTAATTTTTGTATTTTTAGTAGAGATGGGGTTTCACCATATTGGCCAGGCTGGTCTCAAACTCCTGACCTCAGGTAATCTGACTGCCTCAGCCTCCCAAAGTGTTGGGATTACGTGTGTGAGCCACTGCACCTGGTTGGAACCAGGTTTAAATCCCAACTCTGCTCTTAGTTGAAGAGTGACCCTGAGAGACTTATTAAACCTCTCTGAGCTTTGTTGTTGAGATGGAGTCTCGCTCTGTTGCCTAGGCTGAAGTGCAGTGGTACGATCTTGGCTCACTGCAACCTCCGCCTCCCGGGTTCAAGTGATTCTCCTGCCTCAGCATCCCGAATAGCTGAAACTACAGGTATGTGCCACCACAACCAGCTAATTTTTTGTATTTTTAGTAGAGACGGTGTTTCACTCTGTTAGCCAGGATGGTCTCAATCTCCTGACCTCGTAATCCATCCGCCTCAGCCTCCCAAAGTGCTGGGATTACAGGCGTGAGCCACTGCACCCAGCCATGTTGTTGTTTTTTAATCTGTAAAACATACATACTTCAAAGGGTAATTGCAAGAATTAAGGGAGCTTCCAGGGTATTTGTTACTTAAAAAAAGAAATGAATTAGGGAACAAACATACAGAGTGCCTGACATGGTCTCTGGTTCCAATAAGGGTTCAATAAGTATCCCTTCTTGTTATTGAGGTTATTTTTATCATTTTTTGGTGGTATGAGTGGTGTATATACCACCCAGCAGTACTAAGGTGACCCAATGACATGTCACTAATCCATCTTTTGGTCATTACTAGCAAACAGTTTACTACTCTATTTATTTATTTATTTATTTTTGAGATGGAGTCTCACTCTATCACCTAGGCTGGAGTGCAGTGGTGCGATCTTGGCCTACTGCAAACTCTGCCTCTCAGGTTCAAATGATTCTCCTGCTTCAGCCTCCAAAGTAGCTGGGACTCCAGGTGAGCGCCACCATGCCCAGCTAATTTCTGTATTTTCAGTAGAGACGGGGTTTCACCACGTTGGCCAGGCTGGTCTCAAACTCCTGGCTTCAAGTGATCCATCTGCCTCAGCCTCCAGTTTACTACTCTAAAAAATTGTTTTGAAAATCCTACCATTACAAATGTTTCAAGTTGAAAAATTATTACAAAAGATGTTTTGGATTGGGGAAATTTGAACATGGGTTAGATATTCAGTATTATTATTAAATAATTGTTAGTTAGGTATACTGGTGTTGTGGTTATGAAAAACAATGTCGGCCGGGTGCAGTGGCTCATACCTGTAATCCAGCACTTTGGGAGGCCGAGGCGGATGGATCACTTGAGGTCAAGAGTTTGAGACCAGCCTGGCCAACAAGGCGAAACCCCGTCTCCATTAAAAATACAAAAATTAGCCGGGTGTGGTGGCACATGCCTATAATCCCAGCTACTTGGGAGGCTAAGGCAGGAGAACTGCTTGAATCCAGGAGGCAGAGGTTGCAGTGTGCCCAGACCGCGCCATTTCGCTCCAGCCTGGGCAACAGAGTGAGACTCCATCTCAAAAAAAAAAGAAGAAGAAGAAAAGAAAGGAAAAAAAAAAAGACAGGGTCTCACTCTATCATCCAGCCTGGAGTGCAGTGATGTGATCACAGCTCACTGCAGCCTCCACCTCCCAGGCTCAGGTGATCCTCCCACCACAATCTTCCGGGTAAGTAGGTAGGACTACAGGTGTGCACCTCCACGCCTGGCTAATTTTTTGTTTGTTTTTGTAGAGATGGGGTTTTGCCATGTTGCCCTGGCTGGTCTCAAACTCCTGGGCTCAAGTGATCTACCTGCCTCAGCCTCCTTAAGTGCTGGGATTACAGGAGTGAGCCACTATGCCCGGTCAATGTCTTTATTCTTGAGAGATGCATGCTGTCTGAAACTTATTTCAAAAGGTTCAGCCAAAAAAAATCATTATCTACATGTTAAAAGTATACATGTATACACACACACATATACAGAAAATAAATGTGGCAAAATGTTAACAATGTTTTAATTTTTGATCTAGATGAAGTGTAAACAGGTATTCATTGTATTAGTTTTTCTTCTTTCACCTTTTCTGAAGGTTTCAAATGTTACATAATTAAAACATTAGGAAAGAAGAGACACTCAAAAAGCATGTTACAAAGCTGTTTAAAATAGTCTTCTCCCTCTCCCTCTCCCCACGGTCTCCCTCTCCCTCTCTTTCCACGGTCTCCCTCTCCCTCTCTTTCCACGGTCTCCCTCTCCCTCTCTTTCCACGGTCTCCCTCTCCCTCTCTTTCCACGGTCTCCCCTCCCTCTCTTTCCACGGTCTCCCTCTCATGCCGAGCCGAAGCTGGACTGTACTGCTGCCATCTCAGCTCACTGCAACCTCCCTGCCTGATTCTCCTGCCTCAGCCTGCCGAGTGCCTGCAATTGCAGGCACGCGCCGCCACGCCTGACTGGTTTTGGTGGAGACGGGGTTTCGCTGTGTTGGCCAGGCCGGTCTCCAGCCCCTAACCGCGAGTGATCCGCCAGCCTCAGCCTCCCGAGGTGCCGGGATTGCAGATGGAGTCTCGTTCACTCAGTGCTCAATGGTGCCCAGGCTGGAGTGCAGTGGCGTGATCTTGGCTCGCTACAACCTCCACCTCCCAGCCGCCTGCCTTGGCCTCCCAAAGTGCTGAGATTGCAGCCTCTGCCCGGCCGCCACCCCGTCTGGGAAGTGAGGAGTGTCTCTGCCTGGCTGCCCATCGTCTGGGATGTGAGGAGCCCCTCTGCCTGGCTGCCCAGTCTGGAAAGTGAGGAGCGTCTCCGCCCCGCCGCCATCCCATCTAGGAAGTGAGGAGCACCTCTTCCCGGCCGCCATCACATCTAGGAAGTGACGCCATCACATCTAGGAAGTGAGGAGCGTCTCTGCCCGGCCACCCATCGTCTGAGATGTGAGGAGCCCCTCTGCCTGGCTGCCCAGTCTGGAAAGTGAGGAGCGTATCCGCCCAGACGCCATCCCATCTAGGAAGTGAGGAGCACCTCTTCCCGGCCGCCATCACATCTAGGAAGTGAGGAGCACCTCTTCCCGGCCGCCATCACATCTAGGAAGTGAGGAGCGTCTCTGCCTGGCCGCCCATCATCTGAGATGTGGGGAGCGCCTCTGCCCCGCCGCCCCGTCTGGGATGTGAGGAGCGCCTCTGCCCGGCCGAGACCCCGTCTGGGAGGTGAGGAGCGTCCCTGCCCGGCCGCCCTGTCTGAGAAGTGAGGAGACCCTCTGCCTGGCAACCGCCCCGTCTGAGAAGTGAGGAGGCCCTCCGCCCGGCAGCCGCCCCATCTGAGAAGTGAGGAGCCTCTCTGCCCGGCAGCCACCCCATCTGGGAAGTGAGGAGCGTCTCCGCCGGGCAGCCACCCCGTCCGGGAGGGAGGTGGGGGGGGGGGTCAGCCCCCCGCCCCGTCCGGGAGGGAGGTCGGGGGGTCAGCCCCCCGCCCGGCCAGCCGCCCCGTCCGGGAGGGAGGTGGGGGGGTCAGCCCCCCACCCGGCCAGCCACCCCGTCCGGGAGGTGAGGGGCGCCTCTGCCTGGCCGCCCCTACTGGGAAGTGAGGAGCCCCTCTGCCCGGCCAGCCGCCCCGTCCGGGAGGGAGGCGGGGGGGTCAGCCCCCCGCCCGGCCAGCTGCCCCGTCCAGGAGGGAGGCGGGGGGGTCAGCCCCCCGCCCGGCCAGCCGCCCCGTCCGGGAGGGAGGTGGGGGGGTCAGCCCCCCGCCTGGACAGCCGCCCCGTCTGGGAGGGAGGTGGGGGGGTCAGCCCCCCCGCCCGGCCAGCCGCCCCGTCTGGGAGGTGAGGGGCGCCTCTGCCCGGCCGCCCCTACTGGGAAGTGAGGAGCCCCTCTGCCCGGCCAGCCGCCCCGTCCGGGAGGGAGGAGGGGGGGTCAGCCCCCCACCCGGCCAGCCGCCCCGTCCGGGAGGGAGGTGGGGGGGTCAGCCCCCCGCCCGGCTAGCCGCCCCGTCTGGGAGGTGAGGGGCGCCTCTGCCCGGCCGCCCCTACTGGGAAGTGAGGAGCCCCTCTGCCCGGCCAGCCGCCCCGTCCGGGAGGGAGGTGGGGGGGGGTCAGCCCCCCGCCCGGCCACCCGCCCCGTCCGGGAGGTGAGGGGCGCCTCTGCCCGGCCACCCCTACTGGGAAGTGAGGAGCCCCTCTGCCCGGCCACCACCCCGTCTGGGAGGTGTGCCCAACAGCTCATTGAGAACGGGCCAGGATGACAATGGCGGCTTTGTGGAATAGAAAGGCAGGAAAGGTGGGGAAAAGATTGAGAAATCGGATGGTTGCCGTGTCTGTGTAGAAAGAAGTAGACATGGGAGACTTTTCATTTTGTTCTGTACTAAGAAAACTTCTTCTGCCTTGGGATCCTGTTGATCTGTGACCTTGCCCCCAACCCTGTGCTCTCTGAAACATGTGCTGTGTCCACTCAGGGTTAAATGGATTAAGGGCGGTGCAAGATGTGCTTTGTTAAACAGAAGCTTGAAGGCAGCATGCTCGTTAAGAGTCATCACCACTCCCTAATCTCAAGTACCCAGGGACACAAACACTGCGGAAGGCCGCAGGGTCCTCTGCTAGGAAAACCAGAGACCTTTGTTCACTTGTTTATCTGCTGACCTTCCCTCCACTATTGTCCTATGACCCAGCCAAATCCCCCTCTGTGAGAAACACCCAAGAATTATCAATAAAAAATAAATAAATAAATAAATAAATAAATAAATAGTTTAGGGCCGGGCACGGTGGCTTACACTTGTAATCCCAGCATCATGGGAGGCCAAAGTGGGTGGATCACGTGAGGTCAGGAGTTGGAGACCAGCATGGCCAACATGGCGAAACCCTGTCTCTACTCAAAAATTACAAAAACTAGCTGGGCATAGTAGGGGGCACCTGTAATCCCAGCTACTCAGGAGACTGAGGCAGCAGAATCACTTGAACCCAGGAGGCAGAGGTTGCAGTGAACCGAGATTAGGCCACTGGACTCCAGTCTGGGTGACAGAATGAGACTCCAGTCTGGGTGACAGAATGAGACTCCGTCTCAAAAAAACAAAACAAAACAGTTTAGAAAGACTCTGATTAAAAAAATAAATAAAGACAAGCAACATGAAACTAGATTAATATGTATTTTTTGAATGTTAAAAAAGATGTTTTCTACCAATTATCCCTAAAGCAGGCATATACTTATCTTGCAGGATAACTTAAATATCTGAGAACTTCTGGGAGAGGTTGTGATAAAGTTTCTTTTCCCTCCTACCCAAATTTTATTTGTCTTTAACAAATTGGAATTTGTGTTAGCATATGGGCTTTTCTCTCCTGTAGCTTGAAAGTGCAATAGCAAAAACATCTGAACTTTACCTTGAATCTTCACAGAGATCAAGAACGTTAGGGACAGGTACTCCAGCATTTGCAAGGGCTTTCATAATCCTGCAAGGACAAATGAAAATAAACAAAATTGCTGGCTGAATTGATGAGATTTTCTTGAAGTTACTTTTCTTTGTTTTTTGTTTGTTTGTTTGTTTTGTTTTTTGAGACACAGTCTCGCTCTGTTACCCAGGCTGGAGTGCAGTGGCACGATCTTGGCTCACTGCAACCTCTACTTCCTAGGTTCAAGCCATTCTCAGGCCTCAGCCTCCTGAGTAGCTGGGATTACAGATGTGCACCACCACAACCAGCTAATTTTTATATTTGTAGTAGAGACGCGGTTTCACCATGTTGGCCAGGCTGTTCTCAAATTCCTGACCTCAGGTGATCCACCTGCCCCGGCCTCCCAAAGTCCTGGGATTACAGGCATAAGCCATTGTGCCTGGCCTGAAATTACTTTTCTGAATTAAAAATGGTACATAAATTAAAATGAAATTCTAAAAAATATTCAATTGACCCAAAAGTAGGTAAGAACAAAAAAATGATGGGACAAACAAAAAACCAATGGTGAAATTGTAGACCTAAATCAAACATATCAATAATTACATTAAACTCAAAAGATGAATAGATTCCAATTAAAAGACAGAAGTTGGCCATGCATGGTGGCTCCTGCCTGTAATCCCAGCACTTTGGGAGGCTGAGGGGGAGGACTGCTTGAGCCTAAGAGTTCAAGACCACCCTGGCCAACATGGTAAAACCCTTTCTCAACTAAAAATACAAAAATTAGCCAGGCATGGTGGCGCGTGCCTGTAATCCCAGCTACTTGGGTGGCTGAAGCATGAGAATCACTTGAACCCAGGAGGCGGAGGTTGCAATGAGCCAAGATCGCTCCACTGTGCTCCGGCCTGGGTGACAGAGCGAGACTCCATCTCAAAAAAAAATAAAATAAAATAAATAAAAGAAATAAAATAAAAATAAAAGACAGATGTTTTCAGCCTGGACAGAAAAACATGACCTAATTATATGATGTCTACAAGAGATATGCGCTGAATATATAAACATAGATAGGCTGCAAAAACAAGGATGGAAATGGAAGCATTATGCAATCACTAAGCATAAGAAAGCTGGTGAGGCTACTTTAATATCAAATAAAGCAGCCTTTACGACAGTGTACCACCAGAGATAAAGAGGGACATTTGAAAATGATACAACTGCAAGTTCATCAGAAAGATATTACAATCATAAGTATGTATGTGCTAAACAACAGAGCTTCGAAATATATCAAGTAAAAATGATCAAAATTAAAGAGAAAAAAATGGAGAAATCCACAAGTCTTAGTTGAGCTTTTAACACTCCTTTCTCAGTAATGATAGAATTAGACAAAAATAGATTTATCTAAAGACATACATCTGAACCCACTACCAACTTGATCTGATGGACATTTGTATACCACTCACTCAGATATTGCAAAATACACATTATTTCAAGTAAACACAATATGTTCGCCAAGATAAGTCATGTGCTGGTCCATAAAATAAATCTCAAAAAATTTCAATAAAAATTAAAATCTAGCCCAGCACACTAGCTCATGCCTATAATCCCAGCATTTTGGGAGGCCGAGGCGGGCGGATCACCTGAGGTCAGGAGTTCAACACCAGCCTGGCCAATACGGCGAAACCCCATTTCTATTAAAAATACAAAAATTAGGGCCAGGCTTGGTGGCTCATGCCTGCAATCTCAGCACTTTGGGAGGCTGAGGCGGGTGGATCACGAGGTCAGGAGATCGAGACCATCCTAGCTAACATGGTGAAACTCCGTCTCTACTAAAAATACAAAAAATTAGCCAGGAGTGGTGGTGGGCACCTGTAGTCCCATCTACTCGGGAGGCTGAGGCAGGAGAATGGCGTGAACCTGGGAGGCGGAGCTTGCAGTGGGCCGAGATCGTGCCACTGCGCTCCAGCCTGGGCAACAGAGCGAGACTCTGTCTCAAAAAATAATAAAAATAATACAAAAATTAGCCGGGCATGGTGCCTCATGCCTTTAATTGTACCTACTTAGGAGGCTGAGGCAGGAGAATCACTTGAACCCAGGAGGCGGAGGTTGCAATGAACCAAGATCATGCCACTGCAGTGCAGCCTGGGCGACAAGAGCAAACCTGCATCTCAAAAAATAACAAACAAAAGGCCGGGCGCAGTGACTCATGCCTGTAATCCCAGCACTCCGGGAGGCCGAGGCAGGTGGATCATGAGGTCAGGAGATTGAGACCATCCTGGCCGAAGTGGTGAAACCCCATACCTACTAAAAATACAAAAATTAGCCAGGCATGGTGGTATGTGCCTGTAGTCCGAGCTACTGAGGAGGCTGAGGCAGGAGAATTGCTTGAACCCAGGAGGTGGAGACTGCAGTGAGCCAAGATCGCACCACTGCACTACGGCCTGGGTGACAGACCAAGACTCCATCTCAAAAAAAACCAAAAAATTGAAATCTTGCAGGGTATTTGTCAGACTTCAATGGAATTAAACTAGAATTCATTCACATATAATATCAAGAAAAAAACCCCCAAATATTTGAAAATTAAACAATGCACTTCTTTTTTTCTTTTCTTTTTTTTTTGAGACAGAGTCTCATTATGTTGCCCAGGCTGGAGTGCCATGGCACAATCTTGGCTCACTGCAATCTCCGCTCACTGCAATCTCTGCCTCCTGGGTTCAAGAGATTCTCCTGCCTCAGCCTCGAGATTGGCTGGGACTATAGGTGTGCACCACCACACTTGGCTTACTTTTGTATTTTTATTAGAGACAGGGTTTCACCATGTTGGCAAGACTGGTCTTGAACTCCTGACCTCAGGTGATCCACCTGGCTCGGCCTCCCAAAGTGCTGGGATTACAAGTGGGAGCCACTGCGCCCAGCCTTAAAAGTTATATATTTAAATGCTTGTATTAGAAAAGAAAAACAGGCCAGGCGCAGAGGCTCATACCTGTAGTCCCAGCACTTTGGGAAGCCAAGGCAGGCGGATCACCCGAGGTCAAGAGTTCGGACCAGCCTGACCAACATGGTGAAACCCTATCTCTACTAAAAATACAAAAATTACCTGGGTATGGTGGCGCATGCCTGTAATCCCAGCTACTCAGGAGGCTGAGACAGGAGAATCACTTGAACCTGGGAGGCAGAGGTTGCAGTGAGCCGAGATTGCGCCACTGCACTCCAGCCTGGGTGACAGAGCAAAAACTCCGCCTCAAAACAAAACAAACAATAGAAAAAAGTAACAAAACCAAACTGTGGTTCCCAGATCAATGTAATTGATAAATCCCTAGCTAGACTAACAAGAGAGAGAGAATACAAATTATCAGTTAATACCAGCAGTGATAAAGAAAGGATATCACTAGGGTGGGCATAGTGGCTCACGCCTGTAATCCCAGCACTTTGGGAGGCCGAGGCAGGTGAATCACTTGAGATCAGGGGTTGTAGACCAGCCTGGTCAACATGGGGAAACCCCATCTCTACTAAAAATAGTAAATTAGCTGGACATGGTGGCGTGTGACTATAATCCCTGTTACTTGGGAGGCTAAGGCAGGAGAATCACTTGGACCTGGGAGATGGAGGTGGCAATAAGCCAAGATCATGCCACTGCACTCCAGCCTGGATGACAAAGCAAGACTCCATTTCAAAAAAAAAAAAAAAAAAAAAAAAAAAAAAAGGATATCACTATAGATCCTACGTATATTAAAAGGATAGTAAGGGAATATTATAAATCATAAATTCAACAGCTTAGGTGATATGAACAGACTCCTTAGAAATTACAACTTACCAAATCTAAAACAAGATGAAATAAAATATCTGAGTAACAACATTTTTGTTAAATTGAATTAATAATCAAAAACCTTGGCCAGGCACGCTGGCTCATGCCTGTAATCCCCAATACTTTGGGAGGCCAAGGTGGGAGGATTGCTTGAGGCCAAGAGTTCAGGCAATATAGTGAGGCCCCATCTCTACAAAAAAATTTTTAAAACTAGCCAGGCATGATGGCATGTGCCTGTAGTATTTGGGAGGCTGAGGCGGAGAATCACTTGAGCCCAGGAGTTCGAGATTATAGTGAGGTATCATCACACCACTGTACTCCAGCCTGGACAATAGTGACACTCTGCCTAAAAAAAAAAAAAAAATCAGCTAATACTATATATGCAGTTTGTATCTGCCTTTACTATCTTAAAATTTTATCATACACATTTGTTATTATAGGCATACTTTTATTAGCTGCAATAACAGCATAATCATTAAAGGTGAGCTATGAAATCTCACAGACTGGCTATAAAGCCAGACTCTAGCACTTGCTTACTAGTTTTATGACCCTGGGTATGCTGGTTAATTTTTTTTTTTTTTTTTTTTTGAGACAGGGTCTCACTTTGTGAGTGCAGCGGTACGATCTCAGCTCACTACAACCTCTGCTTCCTGGGTTCAAGTGATTCTCCAGCCTCAGCCTCCCATGTAACTGGGACTACAGGTCCAAGTCACCAACACCCGGCTAATTTTTGTATTTTTTGTAGAGTCAGGGTTTCACCATGTTGCCCAGGCTGGGCTCGAACGCCTGAGCTCAAAGCAAATCTGCCTGCCTTGGTTTCTTTAAGGCTTACTTTTCCCAGTTGTAAATGAGGACTATAATTGTAACATATCATAGAGTTGTGAGGATGCTCTGCAGTAACAGACATTCGAAGCATTTATTTTAGTGCCTGGCACATATTAACCATTCGATAAATGTTAGCTATTACTATTACTGTCATTGCGACAGTATATATACCAAGGTTTACTTAATTATTTCCTGATTATGGTACAGATTATAGTATATTTAAGTAGTTTCCAAACTCTTTTGTTTGTTTCTTGAGACACAGTCTCGCTCTGTCACCCAGGCTGGAGTGCAGTGGTGCCCACCTCGGCTCAGTGCAGCTTCCACCTCCCAGGTTCAAGAGATCCTCCCACCTCAGCCTCCTGAGTAGATGGAACTACAGGTATGTGCCACCACACCCAACTAATTTTTCGTATTTTTGGTAGAGACAGGTTTTCACTATGTTGTCCAGGCTGGTCTTCAATTCCTGAGTTCAAGTCATCCACCTGCCTCAGCCTCCCAAAGTGCTGGGACTATGGTAGCTACTGCTCCTGGCCTTCCAAATTCTTATTATTAAACAACTTTATGGTGAGCATATTAATACATACAGCTGTTTCCCCCTACTTAGAATTATTTCTTTAAGACAGAGCCCCAGAATTGGAATTATTAGGTCTGAAAGTATGAAAACGCTGAGGCTTTTAATAAATTGTATCATATTGTTTTCCAGAATAGTTCTAATTTACATTTGGCTTTTTGGGGGATTGGAGCAGGGTTTCACAATGTCTCCCAGGTGGGAGTGCAATGATGCCACAGTAACTCACTGTAGCCTTAACCTCCCAGCTCAAGCAATCCTCCCACCTCAGCCTCCTGAGTAGGTGTGACTACAGGTTCATGCCAGCACACCCAGGCTTTTTTTTGGGGGGGGATGGGGGGTAGAAACAGGGTCTTGCTGCATTGCCTAGGCTGGTCTTGACCTCTTGGGCTCAATGATCCTCTTGCCTCGGTCTCCCAAGGCACTGGGATTATAGGTGTGACCCACCAAGCCTGGCCCATAATTGTAGTTTTAAATGTCTTGGGGTATTTTTATGGAGTGCTGACTTTTCAGTTTAGGGCTGAGCTTGTGCACAGTGGAGGCTAGTGGGCAAGTGCTCCCCTGGCCCTGAAAACTTACCTGAACTCCCTCTCTATGGCATGGGCAGATGGAAGGAGTGTCCCTGGGGGCTTCTTCCTCAGAACTAGATCACGATTAGCCAGCCTGATGTAGTAAGTTGGATTTGACTGCCCGTGATCAAACTGAAGTAGTTCCAATGGGCCTGCAAGTTTGAAAACAAAGAAAACTCAAACCAGCCCTGGAGGACAGATCTGAGCAGACATTCTTTCTTTCTAATGAGTTCTGCATTTGGGCTTCAAAATATCCTCATCTGCCATGCAGTGCAAGAAAAGTACCTCTTCTCTGCCTACTAGGAGTGACTGAGTCCCAGGTCTACACTCCGCCAACTCAGGTCCAGGATCACATGCCACTACAGTTTGTCAAAGGCCATTCATTTTATACCACAGTAATTTTCTCAGTTTGTGCAGGTGTCCAATTTTGTCCTTCCTGCCAGCTCCTGCTCCATGAATAAAAACATGTTCATTCTGTTTATCAAGCACAAACGCAGCCATGGCAACCCATCTTGCCAAATGGAATGCTTTAAGCCTGAGGATGAAAGGTGCCCTTGCACGTCCCTCTGCCTGACACTGCTGGGACAGCTGAAAGGAGTGACACAGAGGCCTTCGGCCTGACCCAAAGCTGCTTTCATGAGATGTAATTTCCCACTGCACTAGGCTGAATTCTGTGGCTCCCTTGCAGGATCCTGGCTGAGGTGAAACTAATTCATTCTCAGCTCCATAAGAAGACTGAACCCTGGGTATAGACTGATTTCACTTGGTTAGAAGAGTAGGCAAGCAACAGAACTCGGCCTGAGTTCTTCTGGCTGGCCAGAGTGGGCGCCTCAGCTGTGCAGAGGCCACTACCAATAATCCAATTGCTGGAAAACATCCTAACATGAAACTCCATCAATAAAAGCCTTTTTCACGGAGCAAGTGGGTGAAGCCTTTATTACCTGGGAAAAATGTCTTCTTTGGCCAGGTGCGGAGGCTCATGTAATCCCAGCACTTTGGGAGGCCAAGGCGGGTAGATCACCTGAGATTAGGAGTTTGAGACCAGCCTGACCAACGTGGTGAAACCCCGTCTCTACTACTAAAAATACAAAAATTAGCCAGGCATGGTAGTGGGTGCCTGTAATCCCAGCTACTCGGGAGGCTGAGGCAGGAGAATCACTAGAACCCAAGAGGCGGAGGTTGCAGTGAGCTGAGATCATGCCATTGCACTCCAGCCTGGGCAACAAGGGCAAAACTCCATCTCAAAAAAAATTTAATTTAATTTAATTTAAAAAATTTTGTAAGTCTTCTTTTTTGTTTTCTTTTGTTTTTGAGATGGACTCTCCCTCTGTCGTCCAGGCTGGAGTGCAGTGGCGTGATCTCAGCTCACTGCAACCTCTGCTTCCTGGGATCAAGCGATTCTGCCTTAGCCTCCCCAGTAGCTGGGACTACAGGCATGCGCCACCACACTCGGCTAATTTTTGTATTTTTAGTAGAGATGGAGTTTCGCCATGTTGACCAGGCTGGTCTCAAACTCCTGGCCTCAAGTGATCTGCCCACCTCAGCCTCACAAAGTGGTAGGATTACAGGCATGAGCCACCACCCCTGGCCCAAAAGTGTCCTCTAAAGCACACAAGGCACCTGGTTTTCTGAGGGGGGAATGTGAAGGAGGAAAGAGAAAACTTGTCTCCAAGAAATGGAGACAATTTGTTGCGTTTTAAAATCATGCAACTTTTTTTTTTTTTTTTGGAGACAGAGCCTTGCTCTGCTGCCCAGGCTGCAGTGCAGTGGCATGATCTCAGCTCACTGCAACCTCCACCTTCCAGGTTCAAGTGATTCTCCTGTCTTAGCCTCCCAAGTAGCTGGGGCTACAGGCATGTGCCACCATGCCCGGCTAATTTTTGTATTTTTAGTAGAGATGGGGTTTCGCCATATTGGCCAGGCTGCTCTCAAACTCCTGACCTCAGATGATCCGCCCATCTCGGCCTCCCAAAGTACTGGGGATTACAGGGGTGAGCTACCACACCCAGCAACATTATTTTTCCTTTTTTTTTTGGGGGGGGGACGGAGTCTTGCTCTGTCACCCAGGCCTGCAGTGGCACTATCTTAGCTCACCGTAACCTCAGTCTCCCAGGTTCAAGCAATTCTCCTGCTTCAGCCTCCCAAGTAGCTGGGATTACAGGCGCCCGCCAAAACACCTAGCTAATTTTTATATTTTTAGTAGAGATGGGGTTTTGCCATGTTGGCCAGGCTGACCTCGAACTCCTGACTTCAGGTGATCCGCCTGCCTCAGCCTCCCAAAGTGCTGGGATTACAGGCATGAGCCACTGCGCCCAGCCCTTTTTTTTTTTCTTTTCCTTTTTTTTTTTGAGATGGAGTCTCACTCTGTTACCCAGGCTGGAGTGCAGTGGCACAATCTTGGCTCACTGCAACCTCTGCCTCCCAGGTTCAAGCAATTGTTGTGCCTCAGTCTCCAGAGCAGCTGGGACTATAGTTGTGCACCACCACACCCAGCTAATTTTTGTATTTTTAGTAGAGTCAAGGTTTCACCATGTTGGTCAGCCTGGTCTCGAACTCCTGGCCTCAAGTTATCCACCTGCCTTGGCCTCCCAAAATGCTGGAATTACAGAAGTGAGCCACTACGCCCCGGTCAGCAATGCAAATTCTTTTTTTTTTTCCCCCCGAGATGGAGTCTTGCTCTGTCACCCAGGCTGGAGTGCAGTAGCACGATCTCGGCTGACTGCAACCTCCACCTCCTGGGTTCAAGCAATTCTCCTGCCTCAGCCTCCCGAGTATCTGGGATTACAGGCACCCACCACCACACCCAGCTAATTTTTGTATTTTTAGTAGAGACAGGGTTTCACCAAGTTAGCCAGGCTGGTCTCAAACTCCTGACCTCGCGATCCACCTGCCTTGGCCTCCTAAAGTGCTGGGATTACAAGCGTGAGCCACCGCACCCGCCTGCCGATGTAACTTCTAAGTCGTCTTCACAAAATGGGCTGTCGTCTCAAAGCATTAGAAACTGTAAAATCCTCTGAGCACACACTGCAGTCCCCAAGTTCCTCTCCCTGTTGAAAGCAGGCAACCACTGCCATACCACACTCTCAGGTGTAAGAGTGGGATAGGTACACTTTTGGAGATGCATAAATAGGGAAGTTAATGCTTTTTCCCAAGCAAAACTGAAAGCAGTGCTCCGATGCACCAGGCCCAATGGCTATTTTCCTCACTGTAAAGCTTCTTTGTCTCCAGCCCATTCCATTAGGGTTGAAAAGTGAGAAACAGACCAAAACCTTCGCCTTGGAGAGAGCTACCAAAACATGAAAGAAGCCCACATACCTGTGGTCTGGATACCCAGTAAGTCTTTGAGGTACTTCTGCAAGGAATCTTTCGGAATTTCCATCGTCTTTTTCACAGGCCGAGTGTTTGGAACACCTACTCTCAATGTAAAACCCAAGAGAGCTTCTAATTCCTTTACTGCAGTCTCTGGGTCATTAACCTGGTTTCAGAGAGAATATGTAGATGTATATTTTTTGTTGTTGTTATTTTTCCCTTCCTTTCACAGGATGTTGAGAATATATACACGTATATATTTTTAATTTTACAATTCATGGTAGTACAGGTGCAGAGAATATATATTGAACAGGTGCCAGCAGTCAATCCTGGCCTCAGGGGCTCCTATCTGTTTCCTAGGAGGTGTCTGAAATGTTTGTTCCCCGGTGCCACAAAGACATAGCACTTGAACATAAATTTAATTTACTCAGCAAGGCCATTTTTACTTCCTGCAGAAAGGGTACACTCACCAGCAGTTTTGCCACAACAGTACACCAAACAAAGGAGACAGGGTCATTTATAAGCTGACGCATCCATCCTACTGCTGTGTCCAGTTTCCATTGGCTGGAACGAGACTTTACATTCTGTATTTGTCCTAATTGGCTAGCAACTTAAAACTTTTTAAAAGAGGCAAAGGTAGAGGAAAACAAAGGAAGAAGGAAGTAACTTGTAAAATGCTGAGAAAAATAAAAACACCTTCAAATAAAGAAGAGGAACAAGCTATGACCCAATACTTGCTTGGACCAGTATTAGCAGGCCAAGGCAAATATTTAGACTAAATTGCAGGAACTAAAAACATAAAATACATTAATTTCTTTATTGCAGCTAGCAAATATTTAAAAATGTTAGCATAGCTGGGCGCGGTGGCTCACGCCTGTAATCCCAGCACTTTGGGAAGCCAAGGCGGGTGGATCACGAGGCCAGGAGATCGAGATCATCCTGGCTAACACAGTGAAACCCCGTCTCTACTAAAAATACAAAAAATTAGCCAGGCGCCTGTAGTCCCAGCTACTTGGGAGGCTGAGGCAGGAGAATGGTGCGAACCCAGGAGATGGAGCTTGCAGTGAGCCAAGATAGGACCACTGCAGTCTGGACTGGACGAAAGAGCAAGACTCCATCTCAAAAAAAAAAAAAAAAAAAATTTTAGCACAGGTCAGCTGGGTGTGGTGGCTCACGCCTGTAATCCCAGTACTTTGGGAGGCCGAGGCAGGCGTATCACGAGGTCAGGAGATCGAGAGATCGAGACCATCCTAGCTAACACAGTGAAACCCTGTCTCTACTAAAAATACAAAAAAATTAGCTGGGCGTGGTAGTGGATGCCTGTAGTCCCAGCTACTTGGGAGGCTGAGGCAGGAGAATGGCGTGAACCCAGGAGGTGGAGCTTGCAGTGAGCCAAGACTGCACCACTGCACTCCAGCCTGGGCGACAGAATGAGACTCCGTCTCAACAACAACAACAACAAAAAATTTAGCACAGGTCTTTAAATAAATTTTGCTTCTAAAAGAAGTTACTATTTATTCCTAATTAAATAATAAGGAAAGTCTTTAAAGAAGAACCTCTACTTTACTTTTTACAAAGGGTAGTCCTTTAGAGGGAAATTATCAAAGAAGTCAGTACTCTGAGGAAGGCCTTCGAACCCAGGATATTTAGCTAATGAGGGAGCAGTAGAATGCATTTCCTCTTCCCATTTAACTCCTAACCACACTGAACTTTCTATCCTGCAGAGAGAAGCACTGGTCAACGGTTCACAAAACAGCTAGGCATGATGGTGTGCACCCACAGTTCCAGCCACTTGGGAAGCCTGAGGTGGGAGGACTGCTGGAGTCCAGGAGTTCAAAGCCCTCGGCAACCTAGCAAGACCTCATCTCAAAAAAGATTCACGGCCGGGCGTGGTGAGGCCGTGAATCTTTGGGAGGCGAGGCGGGCAGATTTCCTGAGCTTAGGAGTTTGAGACCAGCTTGGGCAACATGGTGAAACCCTGTCTTTACTAAAATACAAAAAATTAACCGGGCATGGTGGCGTGCGCCTATAGTCCCAGCTACTCAGGGGGCTGACACACGAGAATTGCTTGAACCAGGGAGGCAGAGGTTACAGTGAGCCAAGATCATGCCACTGTATTCCAGCCTGGGTGACAAAGTGAAACTCTGTTTCAAAAAAAAAAAAAAATTTCACAATACCCTCTTGTGCCAAGAAGAAAGAAGATTATGTTACAACGTTTGCTCTTACCCTACAGGCCCATCAGCTCGACGATGAAAACCCAAACATAGAAGAATAGAAGCCAGGCATGGTGGCTCACACCTGTAATCTCACCACTTTGGGAGGGTAAGGTGGGTAGATCGCTTGAGCCCAGGAGTTCGACACCAGCTTGGGCAACACGGCAAAACCCTGTCTCTACAAAAAATACAAAAATTAGTCGGGTGTGGTGGTGTATGCCTCTGGTCAGCTACTCAGGAGACTGAGGTAGGAGGATCACTTAAGCCCAGGAGGTTGAGGCTACAGTGAGCTATGATTGCACCACTGCACTCCAGCCTGGGTGACATAACAAGACCCTGTATGAGAAAAAAAAAAAAAAAGAATAGAAAAAAGTTGGCATGAGACCCCCTCACATGGCTTCTCGTGCTTTACAGCAGTGAGCTGCATGGCCTGCATGGCTGGTGGCCACTGGCTCCCCACTTAAGGCAGCATCACTGGATCATGAGGACAGTGTGAACACCCCCACAAAGGTCTTAAGCCTGCCATTCACCTCCTTTCCCATCTCTTTTCTCAACCTGCCTTCGCAGTACCTGTTTGTCTTGCTTCCCATTGAAAATACAAGCAGCTAGTCACATAGATTTCATAATTAACACAAAATAAGATGACTATGGAAACACAGGGGGAAACCCTAAGGAAAGCTAGAGCTACAAATGTAAAAAGATTACAGAGAAACATTGCATTAGTGGCTGGTGCATGGGAGGGAGTTCAAAAATTAGTGACTATTACCTTAATGGTGTGAATACCAAGTCTGGCAGCTTCTTTTAGATTTGTTCCAAGGTCATCAAGAAAGATGGACTCAGAGGGCTGCAGGCCGAGCTGCTCCAAGCACAGCTTGTAGATCCTAGGGTCTGGCTTACAGATCCCTTCCATGCAGGACTCCACAATCTGATGGAGGGACAGGAATGAGAGATGAATGTCCCGAAAGGTGGAGCTCCCACATGCATGCTGGTAAACTTTTTGAGAGGAAAAGCATAAGAAGGACAGTTGAGATTTATTATAACAAGTAATTTAAGAGTGTTATGATATAAAATGATGTTGCCTTCTTACATTGAGTAATTTGACAATACTGGGTTACAACGTGGGGGCAAACTCGAGAAACCAAAGTGTCTGTTTCAGACACTGTGACCCTGTGCAAACGAGCAAAGCCATAATGGGCCTCAGTGCCATCATCAATAAAATGGGAATAATATTAATAGTCATCGTACCTATCTTAGCTCAGTAAGTTGTGAAACTTAAATGAAACTTAAGTGGGTTCCAAAATGACAAAGCATTTGGCTAATGTCACATCTTGGGGCTAAACAGAGCAGAAGAAAAGCTGTACATGTCAGTTTGACGGAAAGCATTTCGCCATTTTTTTTTTTTTTTGCAGAAAGAAGACACTATTACAGGTATAAAATAAATACGAACTTAGTGTTTATTTCAGAGGTTAAAAACCCATCCATACTCCATTTAGACAGAAATTCCATGGGAGGGCTGACACTGTTCCTGACATGCTAAGAGGCTCCTGTACTCTGACGACCTTGCTTCAGCCACATATCTGATCCGTAATGGGTGGAGGGTGCTGGTGAGAGTTCAGGAGAACACGGGAAAGCCTTCTCAGTGTCAGGCTGTCTCTGATCCACTGATTCCCCGAAAGTCCTTTTACAGTGTCCCCAGGGCGTAATCTCCTATAGAGTGGGCCCAATCTCCTATAGCCACATAGCCTATAACCAATACCCTCTGATCTGCCCTAAGAACAGAACTAAATCTCTGACTTGCCACTTGGAATGACCCAAGCTCTCCAAGGCCAAGGACAAACCCAGTGGCCCCTCTCTCTACCCTACACTTGCATTCTGGGTTGGGTGAGAACTGCCCTTTCAGGTAAATAAATGTCTGGAATAAACTGGACCTTTCTACTTTCTCTTGTCTCCTAAGGACCTGAATGAGCTAAAAAAAAAAAGTCTAAGAGGCTACCCTAAAGAAAACGTCAATAGTGAGAAGTACAGAAGCAGGGTGTTTCAGACACCAGTCGATGTAACGTACCAGATGGAAGTGGCAGAGCTGTACTGGCTGAGACAAGAGCTAGGAGAGTGGAGGGAATTGGGGGGGATGGGGCAAAGTTCCAGGAAGCATTCGGCTCCTCTCACTAGGTGAATTACATCTGGGGGAAGTAAAATAAATTCTTAAGATTTATTTGATAAGATCTCTAGCCTTCTCTTTCTTATTTTGCACATGATGGCATGAACTTATTCAGGGCTTCTATTACTTTCTTGGCAAAGCAGGAACTGTGGGAACAAGGTCAGTGTTTTTCCAAATGTAGATCAGATAAAAATGATTTTATTTATCAAGGCTCTATCCCAGGAAGATGGAGGGGAAGCCTCCTTCTCAAGGTAAGCATGACAGAGGCTGTCTGATAAGAGAAAAGCATGGACAGAATCTGAAGTCCCTCACTGCGTCTTGGGGTATCTCACCCCAGCTGCAAGGCAGAATCACCTGTGGAGCTTTTTCGAAATACACATGCCTGGATCCCAACTAGACATACTCAATGAAAGCCTCCAGGGAAACAGACCCAGCATCTTTACAAACTCCCAGGTCATGTGATGTGTAGGCAGAGTTGAAAATCTTTAATCTCACTGGCCCAACGAAGGGTACAAATACACCCAGGCATAGGCAGATGTAGGGCTAAGGTAATATGCCACTTCCTGGAGTCCAGCAAAAGTAGCTCTTCCAAAGATGGAAAGAATCAGAAAGGGGCTCTGGTAGCAAAATGTCCAATACTTGAGTTATCAGAGAAATTTAATCTGATGTGTTCTAGAGGCTACCATGACTCTCACTATATTTCATGAGCTGTTCCCTTTTGCACTGACTCAGAATATCCTTGGAGGAATGGGCCAGGGGAAGGGTCCTTCTGATCCATCACAACTCTAAAAGGTGCTGGAAGATCAACTGCCAATCTGGGCTTTGGAGTTTCTAAAGGGAATTATCACTGCTGTTGGTTATAAGACAAAAACAAACATTTTTAAAGTATCCAAATAGGGCCAGGCACAGTGGCTCATGCCTGTAATCTCAGCACTTTGGGAGGCTGAGGTGGGTTGGTCACTTGAGGTCTGAAGTTTGAGACCACCCTGGCCAACAGGGTGAAACCCAGTCTCTAATATTCATAAAAAACACAAAAACTAGCCAGGCGTGGTGGCATGCACCTGTAGTCTCAGCTACTAGGAGGCTGAGGCACGAGAATTGCTTGAGCCCAGGAGGTGGAGGATGCAATGAGCTGAGATTGCGCCACTGAACTCCAACCTGGGCGACAGAGAGAGACCTTCTCTCAAGGAAAAAAAAAGAGAGTACCCAAATAGGGGCCAGGCACGATGGCTCATGCCTGTAATCCCAGCACTTTGGGAGGCTGAGGTGGGCAGATCACTTGAGGTCAGGAGTTCGAGACTAGCCTGGCCAACATGGTGAAACCCTGTCTCTACTAAAAATTCAGGGGTGGTGGTGCCAGGGGTGGTGGTGCATGCCTGTAATCACAGCTACTCAGGAGGCTGAGGCAGGAGAACTGCTTGAGCCTGGAAGGTGGAGGCTGCAGTGAGCCGAGATGGTGCCACTGTACTTTAGCCTGGGCAACAGAGTGAGATGGTCTCAAAAAAAAAAATATATATATATATATATATAAAAAAATAAATAGGCCAGGCACGGTGGCTCATACTTGTAATCCCAGCACTTTGAGAGGCTGAGGTGGGTGGATCACTTGAGGTTGGGAGTTCGAGACCAGCCTGGCCAACATGGTGAAACCCCCGTCTCTACTAAAAATATAAAAATTAGCCAGGCATGGTGGCACACATCTGTAATTCCAGCTACTCAGGAGGCTGAGGCATGAGAATCACTTGAACCTGGGAAGCAGAGGTTGCAGTGAGCTGAGATTGTGCCACTGCACTCCAGCCTGGGTTACAGAGCGAGACTCCATCTCAAAATAAAAAAATAAAAATAAATAAATAGGTAAAGTACCCAAATATAGCCAAGCATGTCAAAACGATAGGTTTATCACATGACAGGTTGGGATACACACATGGAGCAGATGGATTTAGTATGGAAGTAAATCAGGCCGAGGAAGGCAGTAAAATTTTATTGGACAGCACTGGTCTAGGAACTAACGTCACAGAAATAGAAGGCAACATAGTTGGTCTTAGAAAAGGCCAAAGGATCCATTACGATATGAGGGCTGACAGAGATGCTTGTGTTATATGAAGACTAAGGTTCGAATTTAGAATGTAAAGCTGAAGTGTCAACCAGTAATCAAATGCCATAAATGTCTGACCTTGCTAAGAACACAGTGATATCTTAAAGGGTCTGTTTTCAACATATTGCATTTAAACCTAACTTAGTCAAGTGGCTGAAGGAAAAACTCCCTCACTCAAGACCTGCTGGAAGATAGCATTTAACATTGCACCCTGAAGCGAGGGCACAGATTCTGTTCCAATGGTTTTCAATTAGCTCAAGCTTACCACATCAAACTGTTTCCGGTCCAGGGGCAAAAAGCTTTTCTGGTTGGGAAGATAAAAATTATTGCTCAAGACTGCAGTCTGAAGACCTTTTGCCCGAATTTGAGTTATGGCCTCAGTCATCACTGGGAACTGCTTTGCCACTCGCTCACTGGTCAACAGAGAGAAAAATGAGTCCACAGGCACGGAGGTCTTTAACTAAGAACAGGAGAGGGCACAGGAGAACAGCAATCATTAAGAGTGACAAACACTCATGGCCAACAGAAAAAAAAAATGCTTATTCCTGGCGTCCTTCTGCTCTCTGCTACAAGAGCCCAGGCTCATAGCTTGCTGCCTGCAGGAACTGTGTTCCTCAGCCCCTGTGCTGAACTCTCATATAAGGTTTTTAAAAGTTATCCAGGACTAGAGTTATAGGCTGGGCACAGTGGCTCACACCTGTAATCCCAGCACTGTGGGAGGCTGAGGTGGGAAGACTGCTTGAGCTCAGGATTTTGACACCAGCCTGGGCAACAAAGTGAGATCTAAAAAAAATTTTTTTTTAACTTAGCTAGGCTTGGTGGCACATACCTGTGGTCCCAGCTACTCAGGAGGCTGAGGTGGGAGGATGGCTTGAGCCTGGGAGATTGGAGCTGCAGTGAGCTATGATCAAGCCATTGCACTCTAGCCTGAGCAACACAGTAGGGAATGGAGCTATTTATATCAATATTACAATTAAATGAGTTCTTTATTCTGCTCATGGATTGCTAGTTGAAAAAAAAAACAGCATATCATAAGAGGATACAGTGAAATCTAAAAGTATATGAAGTATATGTAATTTAATTTTTAATGATTGAGAAGTCATTTAATGCTTTTTATATTGCCTCAGTATCACCATTATGAACTTTAGTTTCTGATCAATTTTTTTCTTGTTTTTAAATTCAATCTGTGTGGGTTTTGAAAACTCTTATAAGGCTGGGCGCAGTGGCTCACACCTGTAATCCCAGCACTTTGGGAGGCTGAGGCAGGCAGATCACGAGGTCAGGAGATCGAGACCATCCTGGCTAACATGGTGAAACCCCTTATCTACTAAAAATGCAAAAAATTAGCCAGGCGTGGTGGCACGCACCTGTAGTCCCAGCTACTGGGGAGGCTGAGGCAGGAGAATTGCTTGAACCCAGGAGACGGAGGTTGCAGTGAGCCAAGATCATGCCACTGCACTCCAGCCTGGGCAACAGAGCAAGACTCCGTCTCAAAAAAAAAAAAAAAAAGAAAGAAAGAAAGAAAGAAAGAAAACTCTTATATTATCACATTTCAAAATCTGCAAAGGCAAGTCTGCTGTTTTATATATACATATACACACACAGATTTTAGAACAGCTTTACTGAACTCTAATTCACATGCCATGCAAGTCACCTATTTAAAGAGTACAATTCAATGGTTTTTAATATATTTACAAAGTTGTGCAACCATCACTGCCATCAATTTTAGGACATTTTCATTACTCTAAAGAGCAAACCAGCCAGGCGTGGTGGCTCACGCCTGTAATCCCAGCACTTTGGGAGGCCAAGGTGGGCGGATCACAAGGTCAAGAGATCGAGACCATCCTGGCCAACATGGTGAAACCCCGTCTCTACTAAAAATACAAAAATTGGCTGGAGCTGGTGGCACACGCCTGTAGTCCCAGCTACTCGGGAGGCTGAGGCAGGAGAATCGCTTGAACCCGGGAGGCAGAGGTTGCAGTGAGCCGAGATTGCTCCACTGCACTCCAGCCTGGGCAACAGAGTGAGACTGTGTCTCAAAAAAAAAATTAAAAAAAAAAAAAGTAAACCGTACCCATTAACAGTCACTCCTCATTTCCCCCAAAGTCTCCTTGTACTAGAAAACCACCAATCTACTTTCTATCTCTATGGGTTTGCCTATTCTGGACATTTCACACAGATGGAATCATACACCATGCAGTCTTTTTTGACTGGCTTCTTTCACTTTGCATAATGTTTTCAAAGTTTACTATTACATATACACATATATGTTTATATATATATATATATATAAATTGTGGAAAATATATGTAACACAAAATTTACCATTTTAACCTTTTTTTGTTTTTGTTTTTGAGATGGAGTCTCACTCTGTCACCCAGGCTGGAGTGCAGTGGTGTGATCTTGATCCTGGCTCACTGTAACCTCTGCCCCCCAGATTCAAGCAATTCTCCTGCCTCAGCCTCCCAAGTAGCTGGGATTACAGATGCCCACCACCACGCCTGGCTAAATTTTGTATTTTTAGTAGAGATGGGGTTTCACCATGTTGGCCGGGCTTGTCTTGAACTCCTGACCTCAGGTGATCCGCCCTCCTTGGCCTCCCAAAATGCTGGGATTACAGGTGTGAGCCACTGCACTCGACCATTTTTAAGTACACAGTGCAGTGGCATTAAGTACAGTCGTGTTGTCGTGCAACCATCACCATCATCACCATCTACCTACAGAACTTTTCTTACTATATTTTAAATTATATTTTAGTAGAGCTATTGTGGTTACATGAGTTATATAAAGAGCTTAGAACAGTGCACAGTACAGAAAAAATGTTCAATATTATTATTGCTTTAAAAAAGCTTTTTTATCAAAGCCATTATGTAGACAGCTCCTGTTTTAGTATCTATTAGAGGGGAGCTTTCAGGTTGCTGAATGCATGGAGGTGCTGGGAGGAGGGTGGCAGGCCTGGAAAGGGCACAGTGGCTCTAAAACCTTTGCCCCCAGGTATCTTGTCATCTGGCTGTTCATTCGTATCCTTCATAACATCCTTTATAATACACCAGAAAACATTAAAAAAATATATGCTGGAGGAACTTAGTAAAGAATTTTTTTTTTTTTTTTTTTGAGACAGAGTCTTGTTACGTTGCCCAAGCTGGAGTGCAGTGGCACGGTCATGGTTCACTGAAGTTTCAATCCCTAGGGCTCAAGCCTCAGCCTCCTGAATAGCTGGGACCACAGGTGTGCACCACCATGCCTGGCTAATTTTTTTGATTTTTAGTAGAGACAAGGTCTGGCTATGTTGCCTAAGCTGGTCTCAAACTCCAGAGTTCAAACACTTCTCCTGTCTCAGCCTCCCAAAGTGCTGAAGTTACAGGTGTTAGCCACCACGCCTGGCTAAGAATATTTTTAGTTATTCATATATGAATTGAACATTGAACACCTAGGGGTGAAAGAAATAACTTTATTATTATTTTTTTTGAGACAGTTTCGCTCTTGTTGCTCAAGTTGGAGTGCAATGGCATGATCTCAGCTCACTGCAACCTCCACCCCTGAGGTTCAAGCAATTCTCCTGCCTCAGCCTCCCAAATAGCTGGGATTACAGATGTGCGCCACCACAGCCAGCTAATTTTTTGTATTTTTAGTAGAAACGGGGTT